>NW_013171809.1:0-109323 GCF_000001405.40 Homo sapiens | reverse complement strand
AGCTAGAAATCCAGAAAAACCTAACTGTTTTACTCTCTTAGGACTGCCCTAACAAAGGACCACAAACCAGGTGGCTTTAAACAATAGATTTATTTTCCTCTCTCCAAGTTCTGGAGTTTAGAAGTCTGACATAAAGGTGTAGCAGGACCTTGCTCTCTATGAGGGCTCTGAGAAAGAGCCTTCCTTGCCTCTTGCTGTCTCCTGGCTCCTCGTCTTGTAGACGATGCATCACTCCAATCTCTGTTTCCACCTTCACTTCACCCTCTTCTTTGTATCTTTATATGTCCTCTCTCTTCTATAAGGACTCCAGTCATTGCATTTAGAGCCCACTCCATCATGATCTTATCTCAAACCTTAACTAATAATAGCTTCAAAGACCCTATTTCCAAATATGGTCACATTCTGAGTACCAGGTAGACACAGATTTATGGAGGATACTATTCAGCCCACCACACCTACTGCTACAAAACACCCAGAAATGCTAGGTAAAGCACAACAAACTTCTTTTCAAATTCATAGATCAGCATGCATATAAGCATATACAGAAGTGTACACATAGAGAAAGAGACAACATCACTAAAATGTTGAAAACAGAGACTAGAAGCCCGAAGTGGTAAGCTTATAACAGAAGTGACACCTGTCCTGCTTTTTCATTGACTTGTTTCCGTGACCTGGAGAACTGAGTTTGGAAGATGCCTCCAGTAACAGAAAATAAGATATCAGGGCAACACAAAGGTTAGGTTGGAACAGGAAGCAAAATCCCAAGCCCCCTTTGGGCAAGTACCCTGCTCTAGAGAAGCCTCAGGCACCCAAATGTTCTGAATGTTCCCTTCCATTACCATTCTCAGACCCTTTGGTCTCAGGACTCCTCAGCACTCTTAAAGATTACTGAGGACCGGCAGGGCACAGTGGCTTAGGCCTGTAATCCCAGCACTTTGGAAGACCAAGGTGGCCAGATCACCAGAGGTCGGGAGTTCAAGACCAGCCTGACCAACAGGGAGAAACCTTGTCTCTACTAAAAATACAAAATTAGTCAGGCATGGTAGCGCATGCCTGTAATCCCAGCTACTCAGGAGGCTGAGGCAGGAGAATCACTTGAACCCGGGAGGCGGAGGTTGCAGTGAGCTGAGATCACGCCATTGCACTCCAGCCTGGGCAACAAGAGCAAAACTATGTCTCAAAAAAAAAAAAAAAAAGTTACTGAGGACCCCCAATTATTGAGTTTTTATTTATGTGAGTTATATCTATCAATATTTGCTACACTCAAAATTAGGGCCAGGTGCGGTGGCTCACACCTGTAATCCCAACACTTTGGGAGGCTGAGGCAGAAGGATCACTTGAGGCCAAAAGTTCAAGACCTCCCTGGGCAACATAGCAAGACACTATCTCTACAAAAAAAAATTTTTTTTAATTAGCCAAGTGTGGTGGCACACACCTATAGTTCTAGCTACTCAGGGGGCTGAAGCAGGAAGATCGCTTGAGCCCAGGAGTTCAAGGCTGCAGTGAGCTATGATCACACCACTGTACTCCAGCCTTGGTAGCAAAGCAAGACACTGTATCTTTAAAAAAAAAAAAAAAATTAGAACAGCTTTTAAATAACAATAAACCCATTATGTTAATCAAAGTAACATTTTAATTTCAAAAACCTGTATTTTCCCCCTAAAATAGTAAGAAGAATATAATTGTTTTAAATTTTTGCAAATCTCTTTAATATAATCAAGGGGGAGGGGGTGCACGAGGAGACTAGCTTTAGAATAAATGCAATTTTGGTACCATCTAACAAAGCTTAAATGAAAGACCCAAAAGAATGAAACTATTTCCAAGTATTTTACCAGCATCACAAAACAAAGTTCAGTAATATTTACAGGAATACAAAATGCCTAGCACCCAACAAGGTAAAACTCACAATGCTTGGCATCCAACCCAAACTCACCAGACAAGCAAAGAAGCAGAAAAACACAACTCATAATACAAGGACAAAAAGCATTCAGTGAAAACTGAGATCAGAAATAACACAGATTACGGTATGATCTCACTTACATATGGAATCTGAATAAAGTTGAACTCAAAGAAACAGAGAAGAGAATGGTGGTTACCAGGGGCTGGGGATAGGAACAGGGAGAGGCATGGGGAGATGCTGATCAAAGGGTACAAACCCTCAGTTATAAAACGAGTAAGTTCTGGGGATCTAATATACAGCAGCGTGTAATTAATAATGCTGTATTATATACCTGAAATTTGCCAAGAGAGTAAAAATCACAACACTCCGCCATGCAAACAAAAAAAGGTCCAAAAGGGAAGTGTCAGAACAGACTGAATATTGATTCAGTTAAAAGAAAAGGATTGCAACCACAGAGTAAAGACCTTAGTGGAATATGAAATTCAACAACCAGGCTGCTCAAGATGCCAAAGAACCCACTGACCCTTATCCACTGGCATTCAGGCACAGCTCAAGCCAGCCAGTGTTGCTACTAATCCTATTTGACAGTGTCAGGTTTGGTTCCTATTAGCTGAACCCATTACAAGGCATCAGTCATGGCGAAGGTGCTTACTGAATCTGGTGACCCTTCTACACAGTTAAGGAGGTCAAAGCCTTAGAAAAGTATACATGTCAGAAATTTGAAAAATAAATAAATCACATAATCATTTGCATCTAATTACTACATGCTAATCTGTATTTTGTATACTATATATTAATCTACCACTACCTCTAACCAAAAGCAAAAAACAAAGCACCTCATTAAAAACAAACAAACAAAAAAAAACCGGCCAGGTGTGGTGGCTCACACCTGTAATCCCAGCACTTTGGGAGGCCGAGGTGGGTGGATCACTTGAGGTGAGGAGTTCAAGACCAGCCTGGCCAACAATGTGAAATCCCGTCTCTACTAAAAATACAGAAAAATTAGTCAGGCGTGGTGGTGCATGCCTGTAATCCCAGCTACTCGGGAGGCTGAAGCAGGAGAATCACTTGAACCTAGGAGGCGGAGGTTGCAGTGAGCCAAGATTGTGCCACTGCACTCCAGCCTGGGTGACAAGAGCGAAACTCCGTCTCAATTAAAAAAAAAAAAACCCACATTATTTTATCCTGTATGTCCTAAATACACAAATTCTTACTACAAAGGCAAAAAGCTTAGGCATTCAAACCTGAAGTCTCAACTGCCTAATTTTCTTGTCTCTCAGTTCTTCTAAGCATTAATTTCAGAAAAAAGCCTTTCCATCTGCGGGACATGGATCTGTATGTAGGAACACATCCCTCATCACTTCTAAGTGTTTTTCATTCTGATGGCACCACCATCACACAGGACAACATTTGTGAGACCCCACATTGCTGCCTCTTTATGAAAGGCACCCAGATGCCCAAGCTGCACTTTATATTGGATCCATGATTCAGTTAAGTGACCTGGAAACATGTCAATGCTGACCGGACATAAATACCCGCACGGCACTGAGAGAGTGTCAAGTATGAATTGGTGACCGAAAAAGGTGACTGAAAAGGGAAAGAATAAGAACTCTTGTTATAAACATACAAACCTTTAGTATAAGTGTGGCTGGAAACACAGGCTTTGATACAAAAAATATTTCATATAATAAATATTAGGAACAGAAACTGCCCGTCCATACCCCTAATTATTAAATGATCTTTTATTGACTAAGTATTCAATTCACATCACCTGTGTACACTTTGTCTTAGTCTGCTTTTTTGTGCAGTACAGAATTCAAATATGCTAGTCTGGAGATTTGAGATAAAAACCACCACAAAAACCACTTTGCTACTACCAGATTAATTGCTCTGAATTCTACACTGATCTTTTGGTTTGGAGTGAACTAAATTTGTAGTATAATTTTGCGTGAGGTCCATATTTTACAAACCACAAAAAACATATTCAGGAAAACCCCTCAAAGACCAGCAGGACACACACAGTCATTGCCCTGACACCAGTCCTGGCAGGAGGAATAAAACCTTGTTTATTCACACCAGCAGAGCTGCAGGAACAGCATTCGCCCAACTTGCCAAGTTTGTCTGTAGCAAACAGGTCATGCCAACTTCAATAAAAACAGAAGGCTTTTGTCTACAAGGTTTTCTCTACCAATGGAAGTGAACAGAAAATGGCTACCCTACTGTTTTGGCCTCTCACTTCTGATCAAAAAACAATTAATTCTGGCTGGGCGCGGTGGCTCACACCTGTAATCCCAGCACTTTGGGAGGCCAAGGGGGCGGATCACAAGGTCAGGAGATCGAGACCATCCTGGCTAACAGGGTGAAACCCCATCTCTACTAAAAAAAATACAAAAAAATTAGCTGGGTGTGGTGGTGGGCACCTGTAATCCCAGCTACTCGGGAGGCTAAGGCAGGAGAATGGTGCGAACCCGGGAGGTGGAGCTTGCAGTGTGCCAAGATTGTGCCACTGCACTCCAGCCTGGGTGACAGAGAGAGACTCTGCCTCAATTAAAAAAAACCAATTCTCTCAACGTACCTTAACTTTCCTTTGTTTTAAATCAATAAACAGATCTATCTAAAGGCAAATTAGTAGTAATAATTAGTTGCATGGATATGTGGCTTGTTTCCTATCATTCCCCTCTTGGCTTTGCCAACATGACACTTTTCCTTTCTAACTCTGTGATCACACCTTTTCAGTGTTCTCCATCCTCTGTCATTTCCTCCTCCTCACATCTCACTGCATGGAACCTCCTCTGGAGAAACTAATCCAATTCTAAGGCTTTCACCACCACCTCCACAGCTTCCAAATCTTTATTCCTGGCCCCAACTAGTTCTAAAAACCTAAAATTCTAATAACTTTTATTTAAACCACATCTTCCATTGATTAGTTTAGAATGAGACATTTTTAAGAATTCTTTATTTTAATGTATGTTAAATCTGACTGGTATCTATTATATTTTCTACAATTTTCCTGTATTCCACAGTACTTCATAAATTTTTTTAACAGTTAAATAACTGAATTTAAACTCCCAACTTTAAAGCTGAGAAAAATCAAGGCCCAAACTAATTAAGTAACTTGCTCAAGTCCACTCTAAATGATATATCCTATGACTGCATTTCCCATTGTTCCCACCTAGATGGGAGGCTGAATGCTACGTGAAGGGCACTGAGCCATGGGACTGACAGCATTACAGACCACACGGAAGTAAACTGTTTTAGAGTACTGTTTCAACAAACTGCAATTGTGCTCTGTTTGATACCCCATACTTGACAAAAAGATGAAAAGCTCAGATATCAAAATAGTCAAGGTAGAAATGAGTCATTCCACAGTACATAGTTTAAAAAAAAAAAAAGACTATACGTTTCGCAAATTTATATTCTGAAAAATTAATGTTGATACCTTCACTCATTTTCCCTTGAAAACTCATAGCAGACAAAGAAGACACAGTATTGGCTACACAAAGTATACTGCAATAAGTGCTATTCAGGTATGCAGCCCCAAGGAACTCTTGGCCTCTGCAAACCTGATAAAGCATGGCAGTCAGCCAACCTACTTTGACCCCTTAAGCCAACACATAACATAACACTTCCTCGTTCTGGTATCAGAACTAAGATCAACAAAGCCTTATAACTCTATGTGAAAACCCTCACAGAAAGGGAGAATTCCTTATAGCTTTCTCTATGTGAAAACCCTCCTGGGCTCAAGTGATCCTCCTGTCTCGGCCTTCCAAAGTGCTGGAATTATAGGCATGAGTCACTCTGCCTGGCCATTGCAGAGGTCTTTACGCTTTCTTACAATTTCTGTCTTCACACACCTTGAGCTTCATTTTCATTTTGCCACTGTAGAAATATATATTCCATTTATTTCATTCCTATGCTCTTGACAGGGAAGATAGAAACAATCTAGATGCAGAATTCCACCTGCTGTATTATTTAGCAACATTATACCAACAAGGAGAAGCAACAGACAAGCTCTTCCTTTTGTGATCTTTCTCTGAAATTCCTCACCTTTACTGAATAAACCTCAATTGATTTGCGAGTTTTGGCTGTAACGGCACTATTACTGTAAGGTCTATGCCATACTATTATATTGATATTAGATTAGTTTCTCCTGTTACATTAATGCCTTTTCATCTCCTGTTTTTTTTTCTTGCATCTCATTCTTTTCTTCTTTCTAACATACATCTTTTAACAGTTGTTTCCATAGGGATCCTGGGTAGTAAACTCTCATTTGTATTAATCTGAAAGTAAAAGTCTTTCTTCTATCTTTACTGAAGAATGATGAGAGTTCAGCTTGGTACAGAATTCTGAGTTGCCAATGTTTTTCACTAAACTTTGAAGATTTTACGCTACCATATTCTCACTACTGTTGTGGCAACTGAAAAGTCTGATGTTGGCCTAATTGTTAATCCTTTACACGTAATGTATTTTTTCTCCCCAGCAGGTTGTTTTCTTTTTTAGAGACAGGGTCTCGCTCTATTGCCCAAGCTGGAGTGCAGTGGCACAATCATAGCTCACTACTGCCCTGAAGCCCTTAGCTAAGGTCAAGGGATACTCTCGCCTTCGACTTCTGAGTAGCCAGGACTACATGTACACACCACACCTGGTAAGTTTTTTTTCTTGTTGTTGCCTGGTTAGTTTTTTGTTGTTGTTGTTAGTTTTGTTGTTGTTGTTGTTTGTGGAGACGCAGTCTCACTGTTGCCCCGGCTGGTCTCAAACTCCTGGTCTCAAGTGATCCTCCTACCTTGACCTCCACTAGGATTACAGGCGTGAGCCATCATGCCCAGTCTACCTGGCAGTATTTAAGATTAGTTTATCTATGGTTCCACTATGCTGTATGTAGGTGTAGATATTTTCCTGCTCAAGAATAATTTGTTCCTGAATTGAAGAATCCATTCCTATCATCAAAATCAGAAAAATTCTCAGCAATTCTCTCTTAAGATTGCCTCCCATTCTCTTTATCCACTCCTGAAACTCCTACATATAAGTTGGGCTCAATTTACATAGAGTTCTTTTTAATAATTTCTATCTTCCTATCTTTCCTATTGCTTGCTGGGTAATAGCTCATCAGATCTATGTTCCAATTCACTAACTGTTCCTGCAGCTCTCTATAATCTGCAACTACACTAATATACTGAGTTTTCCATTTTAGTTACTATATATTTCATGTCTAAAATCCTGTTTTGATCTTTTATAACCCGGTTGGTTTTATTTACAGTACCTTTGTTTTTTTCCTCGCGTTTTAAATCATTTCTTTATGCATTTATTAATTATAATAGCTAATATTTACTGAGTGTTACTACATAGATAATTAACATTTAATTCTCACAACATTATGGGGTAAGGCTATTATTCTTCTCACAGATGAGAAAACTGAGGCAAAAAAGTATACACTCATACAGCAAGTGGCAGACCCAAGATTCAAACACACTGTACTAAACAGCTAGTGCTAGCTGGGCACGGTGCCTCACGCCTGTAATCCTAACACTACGAGAGGCTGAGTTGGGAGGATCACTTGAGTCCAGGAGCTGAAGACCAGCATGGGCAACATAAGGAGGTTCTGTCTCTATAAAAATTAAAAATTAAGAAAATAAAAATTAAAAACCTAGTGCTACTTCAGCTTTTGCTCTCAATAGTCATGAAACAACATCCTAACAAGTCATATCTGATCATCCATTCTGGAGAGTGTGCCCATGCCTCTCAGTCCGTCCTTTAATCATTTAGTTTATACTCTCGTTCTATTATCCAGCGTTCCTAAGGGTCTGATCACTCCATTTGTTCTTACTCCCATTATTGGTTCAGGGGAGATTACAATCCACAAGTGATTAACTAATGTGGAATTGTAAATTCATTCTAAGCAATGCTTTTACCTGTGGGAATCTACACGTACTAGGTTGAGAGAATGTCCCTTCAGAGCAGTTATGTCTATTCAAACTCAAACCTGCATGATGAGAGACCTTTCTCCACAAAATCAAAGCCAAGGAGAATAAGTCAGTCTCTCATATTGCCATTAATACTGGTAGGAGGAATTTTTTTCTCGTCCGACCTTTCTCAGGATAGTACTAGATTTATGCGGAGGTCTTGGCTTCAGATCCCTATCTCACTTAGGACCAAGGTCTATCCGCTGTCCAAGTGTTATCGTTGATTCATGTGAAGTTCTACTCTTGTTTTGTTTTCCTCTTTTTCCATTTATGTCCAATACCCATCCCTCCTTCAATATGCAGCTATTCTAATATGTTTTAATATGTTCCTGAATATGTATCTTAGAAACACAGAGGGTGATTTTTATATTCATACATGTTTTCAATTTATATTAATGTTACATACCTCAACCTGTTTTTTACTTTTAAAAAACGGGATGGATGCTGTTTTTTAAACAACACACTACTTGTAACAAGTACTGTAAAGTGAGCCGAGACTGCGCCATCGCACTCAAGCCTGGGCAACAAGAGTAAAACTCCGTCTCAAAAAAAAAAAAAAGTAAACATAGATAGTACTTATATCTATCCCTGCTTCTGCATCACTGCTTTTGACTTTTGTACAGTATTCCATGGTACATATCCACAATACTTTATTTATCCAACCCCCTAGTAATAAACACTTATGCTGCTTTTAATTCCTTCTTCCCACAAATAATACTGTGGTGAACATCCTTATACATGTCCTTTTGTGGACCAGCAGGAAAGTTTTTCTGGGAAATATACCAAGGAATGGGATTACTGAAACCACCTACGTCATTTGTGTTACTGTTTGCCCAAATCCTCACAAGCACTGAATGTTATCTCACATTCTAATTTTTATCAATTTGATGAACAAAATATAGTATTTCATCATCTTTGAAATTTGCATTTCTTTATTTACTAGTAAGATTGATGATATCATGGCATAGTTGTTAACCACTTAGGTTTCTTTATCTGTTAATTGTCTATTCAAATCCTTCCCTCTCCCTATAGTCTCTATTGATTTTTGAGGTTTTTTTTTTTTTTTTTTTTTTTTTTTGAGACAGAATCTCACTCTGTCGCCAGGCTGGAGTGCAGTGGCATGATCTCAGCTCACTGCAACCTCCGCCTCCTGGGTTCAAGCAATTCTCCTGCCTCAGCCTCCTGAGTAGCTGGGACTACAGGCACGTGCCACCACGCCCAGCTAATTTTTTTATTTTTAGTAGAGACGGGGTTTCACCATGTTGGCCAGAATGGTGTCGATCTCTTGACCTCATGATCCGCCCGCTTCAGCCTCCCAAAGGGCTGGGATTACAGGCGTGAGCCACCACACCTAGCCTCAAGCATCTCTTTTTTATTCTTTATCTGAATCCTTACTATTTTAAGAGGCTCTAAAAAAACTCTTCTCCCAATCTCATCTGTTAGCTTTGCCAATGGTTTTCTTTCTTGAACAGAAATGCTTAAATTTGATGGAGACATTTAAGTTATCTTACCCAATATATTCCTACTAAACATTTTTATTGATTAGCTTTATAGTTTCTCTTTAACACTGAGGTCTTTAATCCATCTAGAGTTCACTGTTTCATCTAGCATGAAGTAGGTGGCCAACTTTATTCTCCATATGGTATGTCAGTTTTCTCATACTTGCTTAATTTTGCACTAGTTTATGACTGACTATCTCTCCACATAAATGTTTCTGATTTCACACTCCCTGTTCTTTTCATATCTGCTCCTTCCTGTGCTAGTTACCGCACTGTTCTGAGGTGCACTGTTTGGTTTCGTTTGGTTTATGACTCTGTATTTTCATGTCTCACAGGGCAGGGTTCTCCCATCTTCTCTTCTCTTTTTGTTTAATGTTAGAATAGCTTTATTCATCCATATACATTTTTAAAAATTTAATAGAGGTAAGATATACAGACATAAAATTTGCTATCTCAATCATTTTAAGTCTACAGTTCAGTAGTGTTGAGTATATTCACACTGTTGTGCAACCAATCTCCAGAACTCATTTCACCTTACAAAACTAAAATTCTATACCCATTAAACTCCACATTCTCTCCTTCCCAGCCGCTGGTAACCACCTTTCTACTTTCTGTCTCCATGAATTTGACTCTAGGTATGACAAGTGGAATCATATGTAGTATTTGTCTTTTTGTAACTCCTCCTTACAAAATTTAAAATAAAATGAATTCCTAAAAAATACTGTTTGTTTTTTTTGTTTGTTTTGTTTTGAGACGGAGTCTCGCTCTTGTCACCCAGACTGGAGTGCAGTGGTGCGATCTCAGCTCACTGTAACCTCCGCCTCCTGGGTTCAAGTGATTCTCCTGCCTCAGCCTTCCGAGTAGCTGAGATTACAGGTGCGCACCACCGTGCCCAGCTAATTTTGTATTTTTAGTAGAGACGGGTTTTCACTATGTTGGCCAGGCTGGTCTTGAACTCCTGACCTCAGATAATCCACCTGCCTCAGCCTCCCAAAGTGCTGGGATTATAGGCGTGAGCCACCGTGCCCGGCCGACTGCTTGGTGTTTTAATTGGAAATGCAGAAGAATATATACATTAACTTCAGGAAAACTGATATCCCTGCAGGATTAAATTATACCATCTATTGACATGGAGTATCTTTTAATTTATTTATTTTTCCTCATATCCTTGGGTAGAGTATTAGGCTTTCTTGTTTTTTCTTGGGGAGTGGGGAACAACTTGAGGATGAAAATGACTATTTTTAAATATTTGATAGAAAATATCAAATATTGGGCTGGGCGCGGTGGCTCATGCCTGTAATCCCAGCACTCTGGGAGGCCAAGGTGGGCAGATCATAAGGTCAGGAGATTGAGACCAGCCTGGCTAACACAGTGAAACCCCATTTCTACTAAAAATACAAAAAATTAGCTGGGCGTGGTGGCATGCACCTGTAGTCCCAGCTAGTTGGGAGGCTGGGACAGGAGAATCACATGAACTTGAGAGGTGGAGGTTGCAGTGAGCCAAGATTGTGCCACTGCACTCCGGCCTAGGCGAAAGAGCAAGAATCTGTCTCCAAAAAAAAAAAGAAAGAAAATATCAAATATTTTCTCCTCGAAAGCCATCTGGGCCTTAGGATTTGGGAGGGAAAAAGGGATGAGGTTGATTACCATTTCAATTTCTATAACGACTGTTGTTCATGTTTTCTCTTATCTCTTGAACTTCTTCTGTCATTTTATATTTTTCCAGAAACTTATTTCTTCTTGTTTTTCAAGCTTATTCGAATATAATTGTTTAGAGTTGTCTTATATTATTTTTAAACTCTGTAGTACTAGTAGTTACTTCTCCTTTATCATCTGTAAGAGCTGTTCCTGTCCTATTAACCTTTTTCAAATAACTACCTCTTGGTGTTGTTTTATTCTCTATTAATTTCTCACCTTATATTTATTATTCTTTATTGTTTTTGGATTAACTGTTTTTTCTAAGTTTCCTGATTTGAACACCTAGATTACTTGCTTTTCTTTCTTATTTTCTGATAAATATGTTAAAAACTAGCTATTTCCCTCTAAATACTGCTTTAGTTACACCCCACAGATTTTTTTCTAATTATGTTCCACAAATTTTTATATAGAGAGCTTTCACTGCCACTCATTTTTAAATGTTTATATTTTTCCTTTAACCCACAGGTCATTTTGGTAGTATGTTTCAAGATTATATACTTATTTTGGTTTTCTGCTGCTGTTCTTTACTACCTTTATTACTACTTTACTATCTTTACTCCTGATTTCTAATTTTGCTGCATTAGGAGTGCAAAGTCATGTGACTTTGACTCTTGGGAATTTTAAAGTTTCCTTTATGACCCAGTACATGGTTAGTTTTTACGACTGTTCAGTAAGTTCTTGAAAATATTGTTTATTCTCTATGTTAGGACAAAATTCTATATACACATCTATGAACTTGAGCTTGTTAATGTTATTAAAACTTTATGTTGATGCTTCTTTATTTGATCAAATTCTGACAGGAGCACATCCAAATGACCAACTACAATTGTTGATTTATCTGTTTCACCTCATTGCTGCTATATATACATTTATTTGTTTACTTATAGACAGAATCTTGCGCTGTCACCCAGGGGTATGATCTTAGCTCACTGCAACCTCTACCTCCTGGGTTCAAGCAATTCTCCTGCCTCAGGCTCTCAAGTAGCTGAAAACTACAGGTGCGTGCCACCACGCCCAGCTCATTTTTGTATTTTCAGTAGAGACAGGGTTTCACTATGTTGGCCAGGCTGGTCTCGAACTCCTGAACTCAGGTGATCCACCCGCCTCAGCCTCCCAAAGTGCTGGGATTACAGGCGTGGGCTGCCGCGCCCGGCCCGCTTTATGTATTTAAATGCCATGCTGTTAGGTGCATCGATCGGCACGGTTATATTTTCTTGATCTACTGTTTCTTTTATCAGCATATAACATTGCTCTGTGTGCCTTAAAAGATAATTTAATCAATATTAAAATAAATCATATTTGGGAAGGCCTATTTTCCTGATATAACTTTTATTTTTAAATTTTTTTCTATCTCTGTATTTTTAACTTTGCTGTTACTTTTTGTCTGTTTAACTCTTGTTGACAGTATCTTTCTGTATCTTTTTAGCCCAACTGAGATTTATATTTTCATTTTGATCTAAGTACTTATTTGTATTTATTGACTTTCCCATGATTTGTACTTATCTCAGCCTTCTTTTTCATGGTGTCCACATGCTATCACATTTCTTTCTCTCCCCTCCCCATTCTTCTCTATTCTCCACTGGGTAAACTGGGTTTTACTCTGACGGTTTGAAACTTATACATTCCATTTTGATTTTTCTAGCGTATTAAGAGCCATACTTATGCTTGTATTTTCTTAAGCTTATCATTATCTTCTTAAGTAACTGTATTTTCTTAAGCTTATCATTATCTTCTTAAGTAACTTAATGTAACTTCTTAAGCTTATCAGTATCTACATCTTCCCACAAACAAGACATTACCCCATCACCACCGTAAGCAGTGCCATCTCACCAGCTGGAGCTGGGGGAGTGGTTGTGGCAGGAAGCAAGCCTCCCAGATCAGAACGCCTCTGGCATGATCATCTGTACCGCTGCTAGAACAAATGCTCTGCCCCAGGTATAGAGAGGATGCTGAAAGGGGAAGGAGCACTCCAAAGCCAGTCTACCTTCACAAGCAGACTTGAATATCATACCAGTGTCACCCTGCAGCACCCACCCCCAACCCCTACCCCATAACTCAACAACCCACATACAACAGTGAGAGAAACACACTCATCTGAAAAAGATTCTAAGCCCTATCTCTTTTCATAGCACCCAGTCCTCTTTTACTCTGAGCAGCTGTTTCAGAGATTTAGATAGATATATACAGATATATCAATAGGCAGAGATAGAGATAGAGATAGAGATAGAGATAGAGATAGAGACACAGATAGAGATAGAGATAGAGACACAGATAGAGATAGAGATAGAGATAGAGACACAGATAGAGATAGAGATAGAGACACAGATAGAGATAGAGATAGAGATAGAGACACAGATAGAGATAGAGATAGAGATAGAGATAGAGATAGAGACACAGATAGAGATAGAGATAGAGATAGAGATAGAGACACAGATAGAGATAGAGATAGAGATAGAGACACAGATAGAGATAGAGATAGAGATAGAGATAGAGACACAGATAGAGATAGAGATAGAGATAGAGACACAGATAGAGATAGAGATAGAGATAGAGATAGAGACACAGATAGAGATAGAGATAGAGATAGAGACACAGATAGAGATAGAGATAGAGATAGAGATAGAGACACAGATAGAGATAGAGATAGAGATAGAGATAGAGACACAGATAGAGATAGAGATAGAGATAGAGATAGAGACACAGATAGAGATAGAGATAGAGATAGAGATAGAGATAGAGACACAGATAGAGATAGAGATAGAGATAGAGATAGAGACACAGATAGAGATAGAGATATAGAGATAGAGATAGAGATAGATAGATAGAGATAGAGATAGATAGAGATAGAGATAGAGATAGATAGAGATAGAGATAGAGATAGAGATAGAGACACAGATAGAGATAGAGATAGAGATAGAGATAGAGATAGATAGAGACACAGATAGAGATAGAGATAGAGATAGAGATAGAGATAGAGATAGAGACACAGATAGAGATAGAGATAGAGATAGAGATAGAGATAGAGATAGATAGAGATAGAGACACAGATAGAGATAGAGATAGAGATAGAGATAGAGATAGAGATAGATAGAGATAGAGATAGATAGAGATAGAGATAGAGATAGATAGAGATAGAGATAGAGATAGAGATAGAGACACAGATAGAGATAGAGATAGAGATAGAGATAGATAGAGATAGAGATAGAGATAGAGATAGAGATAGAGATCATCAGCCTTTGTTTCATTTGCCACTGTATCCCCAGTGCTCAGAAGGGTTCTCAGCAGGTACTCCCAAAACCGTGTTGAATGAAGAGATCAATCAATACATCTTTCTCTTCTTTCACAATCTCGTCACAAAAGATGCCTATCTCTTTCTGAGGCTATGTAATTCCATCAACCTAAATCCTTTTCTCCTCTCTACCAACATGAATTGTTTCTTCTTCTCCCCATCTTTCTTTGTGGCTAGTCCTCAACCTACCAATCAAACAAGAGTCATGGTCGTCTATGCACATCATAATTAGCGAAGTCAGAAATGATGAATTCCAGTCCCAAAACTAATACCAAGTAGTTGTATAGGCCTTCAGCATGTCACTATATTCTCTCTGCACAGGGAGGAATTGCAGCGTTATGATCAAGAACGCAAGTTTGCGGGTTTGAATCGATCGGGCACTAGGTCATGTAACCTCAGTCTCTCTAAGTTTTAACTCCCCATCTGTAAAATGTTACAACAATTCTTATTTCTTAGAAGGTTACTCTAAGAATTAACTGGGAAAATGAAAGTATACAAACCCTCCATGGTACAAGACTCAGGTTAGATATTATCATACATATTCTTTAAATTACGGAAAGACTGGATGATCTCTAAAAATGCCCTCTAGTTCTAAGAATGTATTACTAACTCTTAGTATGCTGAAGAAGTCAGAACTGGGCTGGGACTGCAAGCAGAGGGTGCACGTCAAACAACAGCATCCTAGCTCTAGTGCCTAGTGCCAAAACATCCTAGAGCAAGGGCAGGTCCTCACCTTGTGCTAGATGCTGATCTCCTGAGCACCTCCGAAAAAAAGAACCACTTCCTCTTACTATTACTAAGATATAGATTATATTCCTTACCTATAATAAACAGAATTCCAAAACACAATTTCCTGGAGAAGGGGAAAAACCTGTACTACTTTGAAGCAGTAAGGTGTACATTATTTTGGCTTATTGATACAATCAGCTCTGCTCTGCACATTGAGAATTCATCCTGAAAATACATTTAATGGTAGGTCCCTAGTATAGCATCACAATTTTGGAACAAGAAAAGAACTTTAATTCTTGAGAATACTGTAAATGATATATCAAAAGTCCCAGTGTTACTAGTGAGAGTAGCCTCAAGTGCCAGTCAAAAGTGGTATGCTAATAAGCAGTTCACAAAATTCTCAATTATAAAAGCAAAACAACAATAATTATCTTGTCTAACCCATGCCATTACTATGAAGAGCAAATAAAACAATAAAGATCAAATCAAATCAAAGTGCTATAAACTGTAAGGTGTTTCGAAATTTTTTAACCCACTGAATTTAAATTTCCCTCCATGGCTGGACACAGTGGCTCCTGCCTATAATTCTTGTGCTTTGGGGGCTGAGGCAGGAGGACTGCTTGAAGCCAGGAGTTCAAGAACATCCTGGGCAACATAGTGAGACCCTGTCTCTACAAAAAATACAAATTAAAAAATCAGCCAGGAGAGGTGGCCTGCATCTGTAGTCCTAGCTACTCAAGATGCTGAAGTGGGAGGATCACCTGAGCCCAGAAGTTCAAGGTTACAGTGAGCTATGATCAAGGCACTGCACTACAGCCTGAATGACAAAGTGAAACCTTGTCGCAAAAAAAAAATAATAAATTAATAAAAAAATGTCCCTCCATATTCAGATGAGAACAGAATTAAACACCTAGTCATAAAAACCTTAGGAAGTTGTTATTATCATTATCCTCATTTTATAGATGAGGAAATGGAGGCTTAAAGAAGTAAAGTAACTCCTGAATGGATGCGGTGGCTCACACCTGTAATCCCAGCACTTTGGGTGGCTGAGGAGGACAGATCACCTGAGGTCGGGAGTTCGAGACCAGCCTGACCAACAGGGAGAAACCCCATCTCTACTAAAAATACAGAATTAGCCAGGTGTGGTGGCACATGCCTATAATCCCAGCTACTCGGGAGGCTGTGGCAGGAGAATCGCTTGAACCCAGGAGGCGAGGTTGTGGTGAGCCAAGATTGTGCTATTGCACTCCAGCCTGGGCAACAAGAGCAAAACTCCATCTCACACACACACACACACACACACACACACACACACACACACACACACACACACACACAAAGAAGAAGTAAAGTAACTCCTCTAAGGTCACACAACTAGTAAAGGTAGAGGGCTGGTTTTCAAGCCTATGTCTGACACCAAAGACCATGCTTTTAACCACTATATTACTAAATCCAGACCACCTCTGTGAAAGTCATCAGATTAAAAGAGATGGTTACAAAACGGGAGCGATTCCATATATACTGTACCTTGTATAACACCAGAGGGCCTTAGTCCATGTACCCTGAATAGGGAAAAAAAAAACAAAAAAAACAAAACAAAACAAAAAACAAACAGATCTTTTCACATGTAACTGTTTTCCTTAAAGGATTTTTAAAATTTTTTAAACTCCAGGCTAGGCACAGTGGCTCACGCCTGTAATCCGAGCACTTTGGGAGGCAGAGGCAGGAGGATTGCTTGAGCTCAGGAGTCCCAGACCAGCCTAGGCAACACAGTGAGACTCTGTCTCTGCAAAAAGTTTTAAAAATTAGCCAGGTGTGGTGGCACATGCCTATAAGTCTTGGCTACTCAGGAGGCTGAGGCAGGAGAAGCGTTTGATCCCAGGAGTTCCAGGCTGCAATGAGCTATTAATATAATCATGCCACTGCACTCCAGCTTGGGTGACAGAGTAAGATTCTATCTCTAAAAATAAAAATGAAAGAAAAACTCCATGCTCCATGTTCTTTTTTCATATATACTTAATTTAGTAATCCGAGTGTTAGATCGAAGTCTGGGATAGCTGCAGAAAAGATGAAATCAACTAAGAGCAAATTATAGAAACACATGAAAACTTTCAAAGAGCTGGTATAAACTGCCTTTTACTGGGCTCTAACACTGGCAAGTTACATTGGAAAAGGTGACTCTTGTCAAGTGCCACCAGAGTAATTTTTTAAGCAATGCTAATAAATAGACATATTACATTCTTAAAATCATCCCAAATTCCAAAGAAAGTTAGCTTTCATTCTTTTATCTTTTATGATGAGATGGTTCTATTTGCGCAGTGGCCCTAGTAACTTACAGAAATAATCACTGAGACTCAGCTACTCCTGCAATGGCTAAAAACTAAAAACCATTCATGAATGACAATAAATACAATCTATTCTCTATGGTACAAGAAACCAATCACAAGCCCATCTGGGTGAGACCTGGCTAATAAGAATATTATTTGAGGGGGGTACAAAGAGAAGCATGGATTGCCAAGGGGGAAAAGTCATTTATTAGACTGTGACAAGCTTTTAAATGTTTGCATTATCATTAACCAACTGCTTGGTTCTCTGGTTTGTACACCTGCCACCTCCATCCAAAGCTATTACAGTAGCAAACTTGGAAGTGCGGCTGACCTCTAGAACACTGGCACCCTCTTCTGACCCTTTTGCTGTATTGCATGCACTCAAGCTACTGAAGTGAAAAACGATTAATAAAGCTATTACATTTTAAAATAACTTAAAGAGTGTAATTGGATTGTTTGTAACTCAAAGGATACACGATTGAGGGGATGGATACCGCCATTCTCCATAATTTATTTTCACATTGTATGCCTGTATTAAATATCTCACATACCCCATAAATATATATACCTACTATGCACCCACAAAAAATTTTTAAAATAAAGCTATAAATGAATAACTTTGCAGGTAACATTATCTAGATGATTTCATATTTATAATTCCCTGAATAAACCTAAGTTTAGCTTAATAAAAGTAAGAAAATGCAGATCATCTAAATACTATGTTCTCTTAACATCTCAACAGTATATGCATTAGTTGATTTTATTAGAAGAATTATAAAATGATAACAATGACGAATGTACAAAGACTTTACTATGTGCCAGACACTGGCAGTAAATAAACGAGTTTAATTCTAACAACAAACTTATGAGTTAAGCACTACTATTCTCTTCACCTTACAGACGTGAAAAGTGAAGTGTAAGGAAGTTGAATACGTTCCCAGGATCACGCGACTCATAGTAAGTGGTAAAGATGGAAGTCCAAACTCAGTAAACATGACTCTAGAGCCAAAGCCTTAGCCACTACTGCATCTCATGATTTTATACCCAAATATCTCTGTGAGGTAGAATGGAGCTGACATCATAACAAAATGAAACATAACTAAAATAGAAAAAGTGTAAGTTATAAGAAAAATGACAAACATGTCAGCTAAAATCTCCCATTTTTAACAAAGCCCCAAATTGTACAGATAAAAATATTACATGAAACAGTTTAGGTTCCTTCTTCATTCTTCCTTATTGGAAGATTCTTGTCTTCTAAGACTATGAGGTTTTTATTCTTTCTTTTCCTCCTCATTCCTTTTTTCCACCAAATTATGTTCTTATTTTTCTTTAAAGAAAAAAAGCTAATCTACATCATATGCTTTATGTTTCTTCTATAAAGCAAAACTACTTATCTATTCTTAAATTATCTATTTCACTGCAACCTTTAAAAAATATTTATATTAAGACAGTAAATCCACATGGTATCATCAACTCTTTCTCTTCGATCATTGAAAGTAAGATAGATAAGAATCGATCTGGGATTATTTAGCAAATACACTAAATATCTATCTGAAGTCATATACCTATCTGAAGATGGTGGATACCTAACTGAAGTCATAGCCAATAGTCTAGATCATCTTCCAAGATTTTGAAAAACACTGCCCGGGCATGGTGGCTCATGCCTGTAATCCCAGCACTTTGGGAGGCAGAGGCGGGCGGATCAAGAGGTCAGGAGTTCGAGACCAGCCTGGCCAATATGGTGAAACCCCATCTCCACTAAAAATACAAAAATTAGCCAGGCTTGGTGGCATGCGCCTATAATCCCAGCTACTCAGGAGGCTGAGGCAGGAGAATCACCTGAATCCAGGAGGCGGAGGTAGTGGTGAGCCAAGATCACGCCAAGCCAAGATCACACCACTGCACTCCAGCCTGGGCAACAGAGCGAGAGGCCATCTCAAAAAAAAAAAAAAAATTCTAAAAACACTAACTTTATTTTCAAACAGGATATGAAGACACATTGTCTAATAATCTGTGGTTTAAAATTAGACTATCTAGAACTTTAACAGATTCCAGTTTCCTATATACAGTTATTCATAATATCACAACTTAAAGACACTTAAATGTACTCCAAACACAGTGTAACCAAGCTCATTGTCATTCATGACTAGAAAATTCACCAGGGGTTGAACTGAAGCTTCTAAATCAATGATTTCTCTTTTACAATTATCCTTTTATTTTTAATACTGTCAGAGTATACTTTGAAGTACAGACTTGGCAAAAGTTTAAAGAATTAAAAACATAAACTGCACCTGTTTTAACTTGTTAGATCTAAGAACAACTGAAATAAGATGGTTACATTTTAGCACAGTGACTGATCACGCTGCTGAAGAATTAATCATAACATTACTCATATTTCCCAATTCTAAACATAACAAAAACAGCACAGGTAACGCTTATGAAAAGGTGCCAAGAAACCAACTCCCCACAAATCCCAGAATTGTTTCTACCTCAGTCTGCAGGATGGCAGCCCTCTGCTCCTTAGCAGTCAAGGACTCCTTCAACACTTCAATGTGCTGTTTACTATCTGAGAACTGGTTTGTGAGTGTTTCTAGCTTTGTCTGCAGGGCGAGTAGTTCTGTGTCCTTTCTGGACAGCTCCTGTTTCACCTGGCCAATCTAGAAAAGAAGTAAAACACTTTAAGGAAAAAAGAAATAAAACAAACACCTCTTATCTGTATCTTTCACAGATCTGAGTCACAAAATATGAAACTAAATGCAGCACGAACTGTGTGATAGGTCATATTCATCTTTTTGCATGACATAACCTTGGATCTCCCCAACCCTGAGCCAAAAAAAACCACTAAACTTATTCAACCAATAGGGAAATGTCCAGTTTTCATTTATTGTGTCTTCTAAATATTCTTTGAAACCTCTTAGAAAGGGAATGGAGGGAAAGGAAATTCCAATTCAATTAGATGACTATGAGACAGCAGTAAGCAACTGAACACCACTGTACTGATGAAATGGTTTTCATTTTTCTAGGTGAGACCTCTTCAGAACATGATGGATCAAATGCAGGATGAGTGCAGATATAACAAAAAAGGTTTTAGAAACCTCCTAGTACTATTTAAAATTCAAAATCTGCTGCTGTTGTGCTAATTTTTCACTGTTATCTTTTTCATTCTCAAAAGTTTGCATAAAATTCTTATCTTAAAAAGCCACTTTTAATGTTATACATAACATGGTTTTGTAAAATCCTATAATTTGATGTTATGTGTATTGATTAATTTCTCTCTTAACATTGAAAGTATTTTCTTTCTAACACCTTCTTTACATTCCTGTTTTCTAAGAATTTTAAAAATAGTTTTTTACCCTAAATGGAAGCCATGTAAACAGAAATTACATCTCCTTTTAAATTATGTCTACCACCTAACAAGGAACTAAAAAAGATACTAATTATTGGAAGTATACATTTGACAAGTCAGTAATTTCGGTGTCACTGATGAAACAAAAAGTTATCTTTTCATTTTCAAAAACTTGAATGTATCTAAAGTATTGTAATTGTAATAATCTTAGGTATAAGGGATAAAGCTTTTGAGAACAATTTCCCATGAAGAAATAAATTTCACATTAATTAAAATTAGACCTTTGAGGAACACCAAAAATAAATTTCCAATTTAGCCTTCTGTTTCAAAAAAGATTAAGTATTTTTCTCATATGCATAAAATCTCTTTTTAGAGATATAGTTATTCATTCATTCAACAAATATTTCTGTATGCTTATTGTATACAAAGTACCTGAGGATACTAAAAACATCAGTGGAAGATAATTTTAAACGGTGGCTATATTCATCCTGCAAAATAGTATGTACCCAAGAGTTAGCACACACTGTAACAACGTGGAGTCTTTTATGATATCCCTTCACCAATAAAAACAACCCATTAACACTATTCCATTCCCTAACACACTGATTGTAACAAAAACACATTTGTTGTATGAATGAATATTTTGGGGGATGTTCAAAGTGTTACCATTTTCTCAGCTAAAGAACTATGACTAAGATTATTCAAATTTCCAGCTACCTCCAATCACGTGGTCAAAAATAAATATAAAAATCTGTTTCGTCATCATCTGCATTATTAAGTAAGCTTCAAATAATGCTATATTGACCTTAAAGACTAAGAAAGAAAAGAAAATATTTTAAATGAAAAGCAGGGTTTAGGCCGGGTGCAGTGGCTCACGCCTGTAATCATTGCACTTTGGAAGGCCGAGGCGGGTGGATCACAAGGTCAGGAGATCAAGACCATCCTGGCCAACATAGTGAAACCCATCTCTACTAAAAATACAAAAATCAGCTGGGCATGGTGGCGCATGCCTGTAATCCCAGCTACTCAGGAGGCTGAGGCAGGAGAATCGCTTGAACCAGGGAGTCAGAGGTTGCAGTGAGCCGAGATCTCGCCACTGCACTCCAGCCTGGCGACAGAGAAAGACTCTGTCTCAAAAAAATAAAGAAAAAGAAAAAAAGAAAAGAAAAGCAGAGTTTAGAAGCACAAATTTTCCTTAAAGACTGAGAAGGGAAGACATTATAAAGGGGAAGCAAATATAATACAAAGCTTAGGAGCACAAGGCTTTGCAGACATTCACCTATCAGAACTAAGCTAGCTATGTGTCCCTGAATAATTACTTTCCTAATCAGTTTCCTAATTAGTAATAAGGAGAAATTATACGAATGCCACTGTACTGTTTATGGATTCAGTAAAATAAAGCGTGAAATGTGCTTAGCCTGTTGTCTGACTCAATGCAGAAATTACTAATAGTAGCTATTTTAAAAAGGAAGTTATTGATCAACCTTCCCTCTAGCCAATATATGGTTTCCATAAACCAAATTAGACCCTTTCCACCAAAATATTTCCCTTTTTAATATATACTATAAAGTGGACCATAAATAGCAAATCTACAAAAGTAGCCCAAGTTTGGTTTTTTAAATGCTGTATTTTTTTATTCCAGTCTTAGCCACAATTATTTTCAGAAGCAGTTTTTGCTGACACTTTGACAAATGTGTGCACAGCCTAGTATAGGTCAGTAAAGAACTTGTAAGCAGTATGTGGAAGAAGACTGCCTGTATAAAACCAAATCCTGCCTCTTACTAGCTGTGTTTTCCTAGGCACCATTCTGTTACCTCAGTTTCCTCGTCTATAATTTGGAGTTGATAATATGTCTAACTCAGCACGTTATAAAATGTTTACAGTAAGTGTGCAAGTGTTAGCTACTTTATTATTCAGCCATCCCTCGGTATCCATGGGTCCATGGGGGACTGGTTCCAAGACACACCTTGGATACCAAAATTAATGAAGGCTGAAGTCCCTGATATAAAATGATGTAGAATTTGCATATAACCTATGCACATCCTCCAGTATAGTTTAAATCATCTCTAGATTACTTGTAATACGTAATACAATGTAAATATTTACAATGTAAATAGTTGTCATACTGTATTGCTTAGGGAATAATGACATGGGAAAAAAGCCTGTACATGTTCAGCACAGACACAACATCCATTTTTTTACCCTGAAAATAAAAAACAGTTGGTTAAACACACAGATGCAAATCCACAGATATGGAGGGCCAACTGTATTTATTTTATTATTATGTTCTGAATTGAAATTTTAAGTTCATTAGAATATTGAACTAGATTTAGATACCTGAAATAAGTCTCTTAGTAATTTCAATTTACTAGATAAATACTTTCTATACATCTGTCCTAAAGAAAGTAACATTTGTGGCAAAATCACTCACTGGAGACTTAAAGATAATGTCTACATAAGGTAAAGCACTTTGCTCAAGAGTTTCAAATTCAAATAAACTCTAGGTGATAGGCCTAGAACAACTGCATATATTCTTGTACCTAGGAAGAAAAGAAGGCCGCCATTCATATAAACCAACAATAAAGGGTTGAGAAAGAAACAGGCTTTGAAATACCATCCACAGAGTGACAAAAGCAACAATAAAGTACCAGGTACAAGGCTTCCAGAACACGTGAAGGCTCACTGCACACAAAGTGACATGTGGGTCAAACTAGTGAACAGGAGTCAGTTAAAGAGCAGAGCAGGCTGGTTAGTGCTAGTAATGGGCAAAGCTGCCAACCATAGAGAATGAAAGGGTAAGCCACCCAGAAGCCATAGAGCTAGCAGGGTCCCACTGTGGGACCACTGCACACAAAGAGGTAAATCTTACGGCAAAGACCTCAGCCTGAAGACCAGCCGCTTTCTTTTTCAGCTCCTCCCATTGAGCCTCTTTCGAACTTAGTTCCTCCTTCAGTTGTTCTACCTGTCACGACATTATTATTCTTTTTCACTTATGTGTCAACTTAGGTCTTCTTCTTGTCTACTTTTGAGGCAGAATGGTAACTAGAAATAACAATAACTTATATAATACAATCAAATCTGTTCCCCTCATTCCCTCTTCAAAGAGCCATAGGTAGTTTCTAAGTTCACAGGTTTTTTCCCCCCACAGTGGACTGGAATGTGCTAATCAACAAATGAAAAACATAAACACAGAGATCATACGGCACTATGTCTTGTTCTCAAATCAGGGTGAAAAATCCAAACTAATAGAAAGTTGGTTATGTGAGGCCAGGCGCAGCAGCTCACACCTATGATTATATCCCAGCACCGTGGGAGGCCAAGGCAGGAGGATCACTTGAGGTCAGGAGTTCGAGACCTGCCTGGCCATCATAGTGAAACCCGTCTCTACTAAAACTACAAAAATTAACTGGGCATGGTGGTGGGCGCCTGTAATCCCAGCTACTCAGCAGACTGAAGCTTGAACCCTGGAGACGGAGGCTGCAGTGAACCGAGATCACGCCACTGCACTCCAGCCTGGTCGACAAAGCATACCTCCGACTCAAAAAAAAAGAAAAAGAAAAAAAAAAAAAGTTGGGTATGTGAGTTTTTAATTTCTAAAACTGAAATGAAAGTAGTAGAAATAATTAATAATAGAGTCTGGAGGTAGCAGAGGAATATTCTGTAGACTTATATGCCAGGTATGGGCACCATGGCAAGAAGCCAGAAACTGGAGGGGAAGTGATGTTATCATTCCTTCACACTACTGGGATGTTGCGGGTTTCATTTCTAAGAACCTGGAGAATACAACTGGGAAATAAAGGGGGAAAACACTTATTTTCTGGCTTAAACTTTATAATTACAATCATAATGTTTAATGAAACCACAACAAAACTGGTAAATTGATAATTGTGATAAACTAAATCCTCCAACTTGCCTAAATAGTTTACAGAATCAAACTAAATGACTTTGGATACAAGGAAGGAACATTGTGACTGATGATAAACACAGACTGATAGGTCTTGGTGGTATCAATCTTTGTCATATTACGCCTGAAGTGCACATGGGAAGCAATAAACCTGACAGCAAGTGGATCTTCCCCACAGGATAGGGCAAAGAAAGGGCTTTCCGTTACAGAACTGTATTTGGAGGGGAAACGTAACTTCATTTCACCCATTTCATTAAAAAGCCTCTTAGGGCTGGGCACGGTGGCTCACGTCTGTAATCCCAGCACTTTGGGAGATTGAAGTGGGTGGATCACCTGAGGTCAGGAGTTCAAGACCAGCCAGGCCAACAAGGTGAAACCCCATCTCTACAAAAAATACAAAAAATTAGCCAGGTGTGGTGGTACGCACCTGTAATCCCAGCTACTTGGGAGGCTGAGGCAGGAAAATCACTTGAACATGGAGGCAGAGGCTGCAGTGAGCTGAGATCACACCACTGCACTCCAGCCTGGGTGACAAGAGCGAAACTCCATCTCAAGCCTCTTAGGGTTTTGACTTTTTAAATAATTCACAAGAGGTAAAGAACCTGATGTTTCATATAGTGAGAAAAACTCATCTGGAAGTTTTTCGGAAGTACTAATAGATATGAAAACTTAAACCATGACAATACATATGTAGCCTCATACAGAGAATTGTCTTTATAAGTAAAAACTTGTAGTAACTATCTATGTCAGTAATTCTGACTTTAATTCTGGAGAAGTTTCATTTGAAAGAACTATGCTAAAAGTATTCTTCCCTGAAACCTGATAAAAGAGTGTAAAATACGGCTTTATCATCACTAGAGAAGTAAAAAATATGCATCAATTTTTCAAACTCCTTTTAAGAATCAAAAGTCTCACATGCCATTACCTTATTTTTCATAAATTTAGAATGGCTCCGATACACTTCCATTTGCTTCATTTCTTCTTCCCTTTCCTCAGTACTCAAAGCACCATTCGATTTCAGCATCTGAATTTCCTCTTCCAGGTCTCGAAGCCCACGCTCCATAGAGGAAATTTTTGAATCCTGAAGACAATGGAAGATTTAGTGATTGAAGTATTCACAAAAACCCAGAAAAGCTGAATAACATGATATTTAAAGAAGTTACATTTAATAAAGATAGACAAATATACAGAAAAAATGCTGTCTGGCAATTGGTGCCTTGCTTCCTTTTTTTGAGACAGAGTCTGTCGCCCAGGCTCTAGTGCAGTGACGCAATCTTAGCTCACTGCAACCTCTGCCTCTGGGTTCAAGCAGTTCTCCTGCCTCAGCCTCCCAAGTAGCTGGGATTACAAGTGTACGCTACCATGCCCAGCTAATTTTTGTATTTTTAGTAGAGACAGGGTTTTGCCATGTTGGCCAGGCTGGTCTCGAACTCCTGACCTCACGTGATACACCTGTCTTGGCCTCCAAAAGTGGTGGGCTTATGGGCGTGAGCCACCATGCCCAGCCAGTGCCTTCCTTCTAAAATACGTCCTTTACAGCCATTTGAGTGGGAGGAGAAGCACTCATATCCACAGTATGATTTTTCTTCTATGGCTGCCTCCAGCTCTGCACCCTTTAAATTAAAGTTGAAAATAATTACTAAATTACTGAAGAAGTAAATGCAATGAAAAACTGGTTAAAATTTCTTTGCATCAGAAATTACAAATTTCTGGTGAAAAAAATTTCCAATATTAATAGTAAAGCCTTTTCTAGTTCTAGTATTTTATCATTTTACTTGGTGACCCCTAAAAAACATATTATGCCCCAAAGGAGGGGAAAAAAGTAAGAGGGTTTCAAAGATTTATACAGTAACGTGTACAGCTATATGTGCAATAATAAAAATTACATAACATCCCACTGCAGAAAAATGGGGGAATAATTAAGTTATTTATCATGTTAGCAATCCTTATTGTCTGTACTTCATACATTTAAAATAATTCTTAATTTTTAAAAATCACTGTCCTTATAAACCATCATCTCTACCACAAATATCACCTTCCAACAGAACATTATTTCATATTCGATCTCTTGATTTTGTTTGTCGCAGTACCTAGTTTCTCCCCAGGCTACTTTACATGTCATGAATTACAGAAAGACTCCTACATGGAATGAATAGTTTTATGTATCTGTAGCTGCAGGTGCTTACTCACCAAAGAAATAGAGACCTTAAAGAGCATAAATTAAGTATAGCTTAGCTTTATTTCACTTGGAGTTTTAGATAAACCATTCCTTTGGAAGCTATTTTGAAATTAACTCCTTTTCTACTTTACCTCAATAATTTCTTGATTAAGTCTCCTTTATTCTCAGAGCATAAAGATGAGAGAGATTAAGGCTTTATATCGAGAAAACTACACCTAGCTATTTTCAGGTTCAAGGGAGGGGAGGAGAGGATGTATTCCTCTGTCTTGCTCATCACGTGACCTTTAAAAATATCACAATGAAAACTGTCTTTTATAAATTCATTCAAATTAAACTTAAAATGTACCTGTTCAAAATCCATTGTACTGAATTAATACAATCAGAGTCATTCTATACCTAAACCAGGATTTTTATTTACTCATGTGGAATGACTGACCCATAAAAAGTACTACTTCAATTGCACTACCTGAAAATTCACTTTTAAGATTGCTATAAAATTTCTCTGGAAATATCAGAACACAGCACCTTAAAAAAGACTAAAATACTAGGCATAAGCATATGACTAGCCTACAAATGAAAGAAAGTGAAAGTTAAAGGTAAGTTCTCCTCTGTCATCAGCCTGAGTGGTAATGAAACTGGACCAGCTGAAAGAGGGAAGTGTATCTCCAGCAGCACTGGGGCTCCACTCAAGACAATTTAGTCCCAGGTAAGAACTCCAACTCTGTACATCACATGGCAGCCGGAACCTGTACAGAGCCTCTAGAAAGTCTCTACAAGGCCCTTAAAAATATAATCTAACTTCTCCCCTACCCTAAACACAGACAAAGGCAGCTTTTGACAAATTAGCACCCTCACTACCAAATCATGAGCCATAAAACCTTCTTCCCAAAAAGGGATCATGACTCCAGCTCTGAAAACCAGGAGGCAGGTACTGACTGACCAGAAGAAGAACCTACCAAGGAAATCAGGCCAGAAAATTAAGGCCTGATACTCTCAACTAGTTCTAGCACCAACCCAACGGGTACCAATGCTGGGTTTAAGGAAAGTCATTCCAACCAGGTTTCTTATTCCTAGAATGTGTAATATTTAAATAAAAAAATTCCTTTTCACTTTACTACTCTGTACTTCCCCAGCCCCAGCCCTTCCATCATTAACCAACCAATCCCACTGGACTTACTGAAATCCTCTGCTCTTTGTCAAATTCCCCAAATTCTCAACCTTTTTCCCATGAACTCTCTCCAGTGAAGGTCAATAACACCCCAACACCACAAAGGAGCAGGGGAAAGGGTTGACATTCTCCCAGTTCTTCAAGGCTGTTTCCCTTTATGGAAAGCTCATACTCCTTTTCACCCTACCCTCCCCATTGCTGCCATCCAGGGACTTCTCCATCACTCCTGCCCATTTTTGGAAGTCTTTGGCACCTGGCTTACAATATCCCCTTCAATCACCACTCTTGCCATAATCCGAGGATTGCAATGTCAGAATTCTTTGACGCCCTTAATTGCAATGATCTCATCCTCCAGTCCATTTGGGTGATCCAGTTTATAGGACTGATGGATCCTATCATCATCCAGAACTCTCTTCCCCTGGCCTGTCATACCCTCACTCTGATTATTTCCTGTTCAACCTCACAGAGAATTCCACTTTCCTAACTTTTACATTTTCTCCCAACCTGTCAGTCCACCTGAATTTTACTCTTTCCAGATCCAGGGTACAGTCCAGGACCAACGTCCAAACTACTCTGTCATCATCACCCTCAATTCATTTGCATCCCAATCACTCGCTCTGCTTTATCTATCCCAGCAAAACTCTAACCCTAGAGCAGTACAGTCATTCTTCCCTGTTCCTCCACTGGTAAAGGAAAAACAAACAAACAAACAAACAAAAAAATAGTAGAGAAAGGGGAGGAAGAGAAAGAGAAGAAGAGGAACAAAGAAGGAAAGGCTGGAATGAGGGAAAATGGTGGGAGAAGGGATAAGAAGAGGAAAGAGAGGAAGAAGAGGCGAAAGAGGAGAGGGCAAAGAAAATTGCATCACCTTCAAGATTACTGGGCTCTTTTACTTCAATCACCTTTCTTCCCTATTTTCCCTAAAGACTACACTAGATTTTCATAATTCTCTGAAGCTCATTCCACATTCTCAGCAACACAGCTATTTCTGTTGTGATTTCAGCATCACATCCTCTTGACCCCACTGGGCCACCAGAATCTTTCTCCTTCTTAGCAGAATGGCTGAAGGTTCACACAACTTAAAATGCATCCATTGCCACCAAGTAATACTATTACTCGTCCTCATTCTGTCAAAAGGCAGTTAAACAAATCATTTTGTGGACATAGGTACATTCATGTGTTTTATTCTTAGGTGTTAACAAGGGATCAGGAAATAACACAACAAACTTGTGGTGAATGTGGAAAGGGTAAAACCATGCAACTGAACGATTCTAAAGGCCCTTTACAAGATTATACTCAAGACTACCAATTAACTACAAAGAACCCAGAATCCACTAATTCGGAATTTGTTTGGTAAATCCTTTCCCCACCGAGAATAAAGATGTATACGATATAAAGTTTTAAGAGGAAATCATCCAAATTAAGACAACAGTTCCCATAACTACTTCAGAAGTATCTATTTACATAAAATTATTTATATACCATTGACTAAATATTCTTGTCATATCAACAAATATTAAATGAAGGCCCACAATGCAAAACACAGTATTGAGCTTTCTAGAGGATATGAAGAAGTAGTTGTGGGGGGAGGTCCCTAACTACATGAACTTTTATGAGAAAGAACAGATTGTGAACAAAAATAACAGCTGCAACAGCTAGTATGGATTGAATGTTTACTATGCGCTAGGTCCTGTTCAAAGTGTTTTTACATGTTTTAACTAATTTAAACCTCAAAACGACCCACTGGATGAGTACTATTACTATCACCATTTGTTGATAAAGAAACTGAGGCATAGGTAATTTGCTCCATATCTTACAGTTGGTTAAGTGAAGCGAGATTTTGAATCCAGGGAGTTTAACTTAGAAAGCAAGCTCTTAATCACTATACTGAACAGCCTAAAGATTTCTAAATATTCATTAACTTAAGGCAGAGGTTTTCAAAGGATGGTCTATGGAACTCTCAGGGTACCCTCAACCCTTTCACAAAGTATGCATGATCAAAACTATTTTCACAATAATACCATGATGTCACTTGACTTTTCCACTGTCTGCACTAAAGATATACAGCAATGATGGGCAAAACTGCTAGTGCCTTAGCACAAATCAAGGCAATGGCATCAAACCATACTTGTAGTCATTATATTAATATTTGTCACGTCAAGTACTTGTAGGAAAAAAATGAAAAATAAGAAATAAAATTTTTAAAAGACTACTTCATTTAATACCGCCCTTGAAGAAGCAGTAAAAAGTATTACTTTTAATAAATCTTGGCCAGGTGCGGTGGCTCACACCTGTAATCCCAGCACTTTGGGAGGCCGAGGCGGGCGGATAACGAGGTCAGGAGATGGAGACCATCCTGGCTAACACGGTGAAACCCCATCTCTACTAAAAATACAAAAAATTAGCTGGGCGTGGTGGCAGGCGCCTGTGGTCCCAGCTACTTGGGAGGCTGAGGCAGGAGAATGGCGTGAACCCGGGAGACGGAGCTTGCAGTGAGCCAAGATCACGCCACTGCACTCCAGCCTAGGCGACAGAGCGAGACTCCATCTCAAAAAATAAAAATAAAAAATAATAAAAAAAAATCTCAACTCTGGAGTACACATACTTTTAATATTGTGTGTGACAAATGGAATGAAGCTGCGTACTGAAATACGATGGCTGTCCCTAAGCACAGGACTCGTGTTGCTTTGAGTTGTAAACTGAATTCAGTATTTTCTTCACGGAACACTATTTTTACTTGAAAGAAAACTGACAAGCTATGGTTACCCAGACTTGGTATCTGGCAGACATTTTCTTAAAATGAAGGAAGTGAGTCTGTCATTTTAAGAGAATAAAGGGGTCCTGAGACCAAGACATCTGCGAATAGCTGATTTAAAGAAATTCTGTTCAACTCTTTTTGGTCCAATTTGAATTATGGTCTACAAGTAAAAGGAAATAAAACTGAAATTCTTTTAAGATGTCATTTTCATTGATTCTCACTCTTAATCTCCAAATAAGTGAAATACTATTACATGCCATTTCCTAACACTCACACATGGAAGTTTTTGATCACTTAAAAGTATAAGGTAATTCATAAGATTCTTTACTAGATTCTCACTTACCTTCATCTCAATAACAGTTTGCAGAGCTTTTGTTTTGGCAGAATCAGGAGCATTCTCAAACCTTCGATGCATCTCCTGTAGAAAAGAGGCAGAAAGAGATTCAGTGCTCTCCTGTTCACCCTCATTTTTTTCAAAGAGGAGTGAGAGCCGATGTATGCAAAAGATCACTACAGCCTTATGAGACAATGACCCCTTCTGTGTTACCAACCTTTCCCTGTGAATCAGGGAATCCACAGACTGCATTCAGGCTCACTCAACCATGCAGGCATAGGAGGATCCCTATCTCTGAACACCTAGTTATTTAAAATCAGTCACACAGACACGAGCTACCATAACAGCTGAAACTACGATTTCACATCCTCAGGTTGTGTGTCAATCTTCCACATAACTCCGGGAAATATAATCAGAATTCCAAATGATCCAAAATGGGGATTAGAAATGCTCCCTTTTAAAAGGAGAAATAAATACCATCACAATCAGTCTGCATTGCTGACTGCAGCTGTGGAAAGCAATCTGTGTTGACAACATCCTTTCCACGGCATCCACCCCCAGAATAACCACCACCTGGTTACCTACGATGAAGCTCGCTCTCTAGTGGTGCTACAGTTAGGAAGAAAAACATGACACTGTTGAACAAGTTTCCTAAGTAGTTCAGGTTCAGAAAATGTCAGAAAAACATAGCTTTTTTTTTTTTTTTTACCCAAATTTTACTGAGTTCAGGATAGAAAAGGAAGGAAGGGATATCAGAGCCTTCCAGGTTACCAAACCACTTCAGTGATTTTCTTGTCAGACTCTGTGAATGTCTCTAAATAAATCAGTCAGTACTTCCAAGTACCCTGGGGACAGGCTCTTGGGAATCCAGGGAATACAGAGATGAATGCTTTCTGCTGCCTCTCTCCCTACTTCCAGCTTTAACTATCCACCTAGTCATCTCACTTTCATGTCCAACAAACATTTCAAACTCTACATGCTCAAAACTCAACTCCTGACCAAGCGTGATGACTCATACCTGTAATCCCAGCACTTTGGGAGGCCAAGGCAGGAGGGTCACTTTGGCCCAGGGGTTCGAGACCAGCCTGGGCAACATGGCAAGATGTCATCTCTACTCCTGATGGTGCCCCCAAACCTGCTCCATCCTTCCTGTTACTCAGGCCACAAACCTATGAGTCTTCTTAATGCCTTCCTTTCGCTCTCAAGCCGCAGTCAGGAAATCCAGTTAGCTCTAGCTTCAAAACATACCCAAAATCCAAGCACTTCTTGCCATCTCCACGGCCACCACCTGGAATGAACCACTAAACAAAAATATACCTTTTAATCCATAACAACCTTCTAACTGAGCTCTGCTTTATCTTGCTCCACTACAGTGTTTTCTTAATGGAGCACTTCAAGTGACCCTTGTAAACATAAAGTTGTCCTTGTCAGTCCTCTGCTGAAAACCCTGTCATGGCTCCCCATTCGACTCCAACTAGAGCCCAAGTCCTCTCGGCAGCCTGCAAAGGCCTCATCTCATCGCTCTTCCCTGGGTCTCCATGCTTTAGCCACTATGGACTCCTTGCTGCTCCTCAAATATGCTAAGCATGCTCCTGATCCTTAAGCCCTTTGCACAAGCTGCTAGGGGAAGACTTCACTTCTTTCCAGTCTTGGCTCAAATGCCTCTTTTGTGTTAGTATTAGGTTTAGTTGTTGTGATAATGCCATTGTCGCTATGCAAGAAAATGTCCATATATTTTAGAGACGCATATTAAAGTCTGCAGAGGAAAATGACGTCATGCCAGGGATTGGCTTTAAAATCTTTGGTAAAGAAAAGAGGAAAAAGAAAAAAGAATACATGGAGGAAGTGTGGCAAAATTTTCGAAACTGGTGTATCTGAGTGATGAGCATGTGGAGATTCATCATGCAGTTCTTACTGCTTTTGTGTAGGCTTGAAATTTTTCATAACAAAATGAATGTTCAACGTTTTCAGTATAATCTACACCTTATTTTAAAATTTAACACAGCCAAAAAAGAACGCATGTGTCCTTCCCCTTTACTTCGCTCTACTTTTTCCTGTGTATAGCACTTACCCTCTAACATATTTTATGATTTATTATGTTTACTTATTATTCTCTACGAGAATGTACGCTCCACAAAAGCTAAGATCTTTGTTTCATTCATTCACTGATGGATCCAAAGCACCTACAACAGTAGCTGCCACACTGGTAAGCGCTTAATAGACATTTAAGGAATGAATACTGAATGAATGAAATGGCTACCAAACGTTCAAGAATTAGCTAGAAAGGAAATATTTTAGTCCCTTCCTACTCCTGTGCTGAATTTTGTACACCTCCTATTTCTCATACAGCATGCTACACAGCTTACATAGCTCCATGAGCACTTACCCCATTGTATTAGCAATAGTTTTTCTTCTCTAACATACCATACTGTGAACTCTTTTAGAAACTGTCTTCTGTATTCCTCAGGCACTGTCTGATATGTAAGCAGTCGTTAAAAATTACTTCTCCTCTCTATCTGTTCCTCTTTTGTTAGATGAAGGAATGAATGATGAATGAATGATCAGCCAGTTTCTATCCTCACCTCTCCACTGAACCATACGATCTAAAATAGCAAATAAAAAACCTCCTTGTTTCTAAACCTAATAGTTATTGTCAGTTCACCTCCTTTGCAAACTCTAGCTGGTACCAGAAAAAAAAAAATTTAAGTTAAAGAAGGAACGTCTTTAAAATTTTCAACCGGCTTCCATTAAAGAATTATCCTAGCTCTAAACTCCACCCTTTTCCTTTCCTACCTGCAGACATTTTCTAAATTCCTGTCCTTGGAACATCTGGATTCTATAGCCTGAATCCAAAGCCTTCACTAATCCACAGAGTAACTTTATGCGAATTAGAAAAAAAGCAACCCTTCTTGGGTAGATGCAACATCACCATGAAGCACAGGCTGAATTTTAGGGCCTACGGGCTCCATCAGCAGGAAGCTCTTGTTTGGTGAACAACCCGTACAAATAACCATCCAAAATAGCCCTTCCCTAATCCTATGGTTTCAACTATTACCTTTACACGTATACCCCACAAAATCTATTTATCTCGCACCGTGGCAGGCATTCATCACTCTTCCTCGCCGTGTGATATCTGAATTCCTTAGCATGTGTGGGAACTCCACATTTAAAGGCAGAGTCTACCTCCCACAACAGAAATTGAAAATGCCACATACTTGTTGCCCAGCCTTTCTTGTGATTAAAGCCCAGGTACATGACCTAATCACCTCAATCAGACACATTCGTCATGTACTTTGAAACAGAATCTTGTGACATGAAGAAGCCGGGACATGAATATTTACAGACAATTCCAGCAGTGGGTGGCAGAGGCAGCAGCTACCTCAGGCTTCCAGACACACCAACAGCAGAGGCTCCAGTGGTGGTGAGCAGTGTCAGTGATGTCGGCGTAACACACTCACATGCCTGTGCCACGCAGCACTGTCATCACTAAAGCAATATAGAAGTGTGATTGATTCGAGGCATTATTCTTGTCTATATAACTTCGGAGCCCAGTTCTCTAGTCCTCCCAGAGGCTCTGGGACCTATGTATTTATCCCATTTATGCACTCCAGGAACTAAGTTTTGGAGATATAATAATGAGAAATAACATATTTGGTCCCTTTTATCATGGAAGCTTTAATAGGAAAAATAGAGTTTAATCAAATAATCATCTATGCAATTCATCAGGGTCACTGACGACCTCCACATTGCTAGCACCCATGATGCATCCTTAGTCACTGTACCTGACCAGCAGCATTTTACCCAACTGCTCAATCCCTCTTCCTTATTCTACTCTCTTTCCTTGGCTTTCAAGGTATGGCACCCTAAGCTTTTCCTCCTATCTTACCCTAAGCTTTTCTTCCCAACTCCTCAGGAGTGTCCCAAGCATCAGTCCTTTGTAGGCTTCTCTTTTCCACCTATACTCATTCCCTTGGTATTTACCGTTCAGTATCATGCACATACTGATAACTCCCAAATGTTTACCTCCTACTGAAATCCATACTCGTATGTACCTTTACTTTCCTGGAGTATCAAATATCTGCCCCACTGTTAACACATCTGCAAGTGACCTCCTGGCCTTCCCCTCTAAACTTGCTTCACTCATCCTGCCTTGATTCATGGTATGCATCCAGCCAGTTGTTCAAGCCAAAAACATAGGAGTCTCTTTTTTTCTTACACCTATATCCAACTCATCAGGAAATCCTGCTCTTCCCATTTTCAAAATATATCCTGAAACTTACCACCTCCACCATCACACTGCTCTAAGCCACCATTATCTTTTGCCTGGATTACACCAACAGTCTCCCAAATCTATCTCACCATTCACAATAGAGCATCTAGAGTGATCTTTTTAAAGCAGAAGTCAAAATATGCTTGCAATTATCAAAAGCTTCTCGTTTTACTCACAGTAAAAGTCACAGTCCTTATGCTGACCTAGAAGGCTCTACATGATCCGGCCCTGTTACCTCTCTGGCCTCATCTCTTATACTCCTCTCTCTCATCCAGTCGGCTCCAGCCAGACTCACCTCTTTGCTTTTCCTCAACATGTCAGTCACCCTCTTGACTTAAGGCCTTTCACTCACTGCTCCCTTTGACAGGCTCTCTCCTTCCCTTAACTGTTGAAGTCTGTTCAAAAGTCAAAGTCTCGGCTGGGAGCGGTGGTTCATGCCTGTAATCCCAGCACTTTGGGAGGCCGAGGCGGGTGGATCACGAGGTCAGGAGTTCAAGACCAGCCTGGCCAACATGGTAAAATCTTATCTCTACTAAAAATACAAAAAAATTAGCTGGGCCTGGTGGTGCGCACCTGCAATCCCAGCTACTGGGGAGGCTGAGGCAGGAGAATGGCTTGAACCCAGGAGGTGGAGGTTGCAGTGAGCCGAGATGGTGCCACTGCAGTCCAGCCTGGGTGACAGAGCAAGACTCTGTCAAAAAAAAAAAAAAAAAAAAAAAAAAAAAAAATCAAAGTCTCAAGCAGGCTCATCCTTATTACCCCATTTTCACTTATGATTTGACTCTAATATACATCCCCAATCTCCCTAACCAAGATCTACTTTTTTCTTGGTATTTATAACTGTTTGTTTATTGTTTGTCTCTCCTATCCCAGGAATTTTTCTTTTTTATTCTCTGATGTATATCAGCACCCAGAACAATACACAGTACAATGATAGTACTCAAATATTTGTCAAATGAATGAAAATACTTTTTAAGTAACTGTATAATTCATATGTAAAAAGTGTTATAAAGAAAATATCCACAATACTGTAAGAGAGTAATTAGGAGATCCTGACGTAGTCTTGGGATCTTGTAAAGTTTCCTAAGGAACACCTGAGAGCTGAAGGATGAACAGGAGTTAGAGTGGGCAAAGTGCAACCATAAAAAGGGAGGGGAAAGATGATCTCACAGGTATGTTTTCGGCCAACTAAAATCCAGAGAATGACACATGGGAGTTGAGAATCTGAAACTGCCCACACACCACTGCAGAGTCTCTGTGAACTCCAAGGTGTTCAAATGCCTGCCCTGAAGACAGCTGGTCCACACCTGCTATCTCTCCTTCTTCCTCTCCCTCTCCCATTCACTCTTTTTATTTTAATTAATTTTAAAATATTTCAGACATACAAGATTCCCTTTACCTCATAAAAGCAGCCTAATCTGGCTTGTTTCTCTACCCCTCCATTGAAACAACTCATCAAGACCACCAACGAATTCTAAGTTACCAACTCTAACAAACACATTTCTGTCCTCATCTCCCTGGAACTCTCAGAAGCATTCAAAGCAACGGCCCAATCCCTCCTAGACACTTGTTTTCTCTTGACTATTAGGACATCACACTCTCCTGTTTTTAGTTCTCACTCTCCAGTTGCACTTTCTCTGTTTCCTTCACAGGTTCTTCCTTCTAAATCAGACCTCCAGGTCTAAATTAGACCAGTGACCAGGTGATCAGTTCTAACCTTTTTCTCTTTTCCATCTAAACTCTTTAATCTACTACATGGTTTAAAATACAACGGAAATGCTGATGAATTTCTAGGCCTGCCCTCTGCTCTGATTTCAGGACTCATACATCCAACTGCCCATTTGGCATCTCTATTTAGATGTCTAACAGGCAACTCACACTTATTTTATCAAAAAAAATTCTTGATTTCCTCTTCTTCAATCTCACCCATCATCTGGTGACTCTGATGAGAGATGAGTCTTCTCTGTCTCATTAAATGGCACTGCCATTCCAGTGGCTCAAGCCAAACACCAAAGCTCTCCTTTTTCTCCTCCTGATATTCATTTCCCACAACCAAGTCAACAGCAGGTCCTAACTGTTCTAGTGCGGAAGTATTTCTTGAGTCTAACCATTTCACCCCATTTCCAGTCTAGTTTGCAACAGCCTCTAGTTAGCTTTCTTCCACCTCCTTTGTCTATTTTCAAGAGAGCACCAGGGTGATCTTGATAAAATATCCACAAATCATGGCATTAATCTGCTTTAAATCTTTCAATAAATTTACCATTATACTTCTCACTTTGACCATAAGGTGAGATGGGCCTTCCTGTCATAAACTATCATAAAATTAAACAAAATGCATGAAATAACTGTTTTCAGACCCTGGATAACAAGCAATACAGGACTATGATCCTTGAGAGAAAATAAACAAGGTGATGGCCCAGATATGTCTAGTATGGGGCGTAGGGAGGGAAAGCCCAAACAAAGAACAGCAGTCTTGCAAAGCTCCAAAGACAGTTTAATGAGTAAGGTTCCCATTAATCTGCAAAACTTTGCGGAGCAAAATACCAGAGGTCCGGGCACCATGGCTCACGCCTGTAATCCCAGCACTTTGGGAGGCCAAGGCGGGCAGATCACTTGAGGCCAGGAGTTCAAGACCAGCCTGGCAAACATGGCAAAACCCCGTCTCTTCCAAAAATACAAAAAGTAGCTGAGCATGGTGGGGGGCACCTGCAATCCCAGCTACTCGGGAGGCTGAGGAAGGAGAATCGCTTGAACCTGGGGGGCAGAGGTTACAGTCAGCCGAGATCGCGACATTGCACTCCAGCTTGGGCAACAGAGTGAGACTCTGTCTCAAAAAAAAAAAAAAAAATTAAAAATTAAAAACAAAACACAGAGAAGGGAGCTTACCAGAAAAGCAGCACTGTCTAACCTGACAAGGGTCCCCTTGAGTCTTTGGCCAAATACTAAGCTGTGCATGTATAGGGCAAGCTGCCACAAAATAAGATCAAGAGCTACTGGAGAAAGAGCAACTATCAGAGAGCCATGAGTTGAGTAACTACCTGAACCCCATAGGGCTGGGAAAAATTCAAGTTCCAAATAGTGGGGAGAACAGCAGAGGCATTTAGTAGAGACACTAAAAGGTCAAGCTTAGGAGTAGAGCTGATGTAGCCTAGAGAAAAGGCTATTCTAAACCAGGCCTAACAGAGTTTAAAAGCAAGTCTTGAAAGGATCAAGTTAATCCCCAAGTAAATTAACTCTTGCCAGACAAAACAACCCTTCATTAAGGAAGGTACCAAAATCCAGATACTCAATCACCTTGTGTCCAAAATGTCCATCATACCACAAATTCTATACACACGAAGTAGGAAAATATGACCTACAACCAGGAGAGAAGTCATTCCACTGAAATAAACATGGATATTACAAAGATGATGGAATTGTCATTCCAGCTAATAAGCCAAGAAATGCTCCAACTGCACGAGAAAAAAAAGGAGGAATTAAGGGCAAATCGGTAATTAAGAGATTTAAAGCATATTTTTGAAAAACAGACAAAACAAAGACATAATTCTTAGGGATGATACCTAGGAATGATATTAATTTAACATATAATACAAGATAACAATACTATGATAGTAAGGATCAGATGTGATAAGTATAATAAGCAAAGGCATGATAACTATAAAACCCAGAACACTGGTTACTTTTAGAGGGAAGGGAGAGTTCTGGCTGGGTTGGTTCACGTACAGGACTTCTGGGTGGCTGTGAAAGTTCTATTTCTAGACCTAGGTAGTGGTTATGAGGGTGCTTACTTTATAATTTACTTAACTATACACCTGTTTTATTCTATTTCTTACATGCATTCCATATTGTATCAAAAAAGAGTTTTTAAAATCTCTTAAAATTATTTGTTTTCTTCCATCCCAACACCTAACACATTAATTAGTTTAGGCCATAATAATCTCTCACCTGCCTTAAAACGACAAACTCGTCAGCCTCCTCCCAGCCTAGTTTGTCCATGTTGAATCTGTTCTGCACACTACAAGGTGATTGACTGGGCACACGGTAGATATTTAACAGTATTTGTTCAATAAATGAGTGTCGAACTTTAAATTGTCTGAGTAAAAATAAAATGAACTCTGCTAACTGTAAACAATCTTCATTTATTAACAAAATTTTATAACCTATACTTTACAACATTTTTATTTGGTATTTCTGTATCTACTTGAAAATATTAAAACTGCATTTTTTAAAAAATAACACACAATTTAGATTTTCAACTTATTTCATCTGATTTCTCCTCTTGAGCATCACCTAATTCCTAAAGAAAACCGAAAAATCCATTTGAATAAAAAGTCCTGACTGGGTGCAGTGGCTCATGCCTGTAATCCAAACACTTTGGGAAACCAAGGCAGGCAGATCACTTGAGCTCAGTAGTTCGAGACCAGCCTGGGCAACACGGTGAATCCCCATCTCTATGAAAAACACATAAAACTAGCTGGGTGTGGTGGTGCTCATGTGTAGTCCCAGCCACTTGCGGGGGCTGAGGCAGGAGGACTGCTTGAGCCTGGGAGGTGGAGGCCGCAATGAGCCAAGATCACGCCACTGCACTCTAGGTGACAAAGTCAGACCCTATCTCAAAAAAAAAAAAAAAAAATCCTTCCCTGCGTACAATAAAGAATTGGGGTGTATTTTAAACCATCCATAGGCATAAAGCTTTTCTACAAAGACGTTTTAAAACCCATTGCTCAAAACAAACTCCCATTCAGAAGCCTGCACCTTACAGTTCACTATGAACACATCTTCCAGTCAGTGAGCTCATAAGCTCCCCTTTCCCACCAAGCACATCAAGCCTATGCCTCCCGCATTGTCAATAGAGAGAGAAGACTGGAAATAGAAGTACTATTCAAAGAAGTGTAAGAAGTAGAATATGCTATTTGGTCACTTTATTTCACTCCTTTTTGGCTGAAAATTTTCATTTGAAAAAATTAGAGGTAGAAGTATCTGAATCTTGTTATATAGTCTATTTGTCTTTTTTTGTCTTAGTCCATTTAATGTTGCTATAATATACTTTCAAATGTGGTAGACCATAAAAAATATGTTCATTTTCTCTCCTTAAATAACTAAAGAATAATGACTAATTTATATTTAGAAAATAAACAAGTTAGAAACAATTTTTTTTTTTTTTTTGGTGCAGTGGCACAATCTCGGCTCACTGCAACCTCCACCTCCCGAGTTCAAGCGATTCTCCTGCCTCAGCCTCCCAAATAGCTAGGACCGCAGGCATGCACCACCATGCCTGGCTAATATTTGTATTTTTAGTAGAGACGGCATTTCAGCATGTTGGCCAGGCTGATCTTGAACTCCTGACCTCAAGTGATCTGCCCACCTAAGCCTCCCAAAGTGCTGGGATTACAGGTATGAGCCACCACGCCTGAGAAACAAAATTTAATAATTCTCCTTTTCCCTAGTTGTTTCTTTGTAAAAGTAAGTCAACTTTTACTTGCACACCTGAGAGAAAGAAGTATGTGTGACTAAAAAGTAAAACTTAGGTCTGAAAATTTTTTTTCAAGTTTCAAGTCTTAGCCCTCAGCACCCTTGGTTCAAGGATAGAAGCTCCACATTGTTCGGGAAGTCCCTTCACAGATTCAATTTCTGAATTTATCATACTGACAACACAGCGGAGACAGAAATAAAAAAGAAGGGAGGGTAAATGGAAAGAACTGTTACCACTTTTTCGTATCTTAACTTGCCCAGTGTCACACACCATTGTACCTGAACCCATTACCATCTCTGGTAATAGTAGTGTGCTCAGAAAATGTCACCTTGTCAAAATGGAAATGAAGGACAAATGATGTAATTTAAAAAGGAGAGGAAGGGCCAGGCACGGTGGCTCACGTCCGTAATCCTAGCATTTGGGAAGCCAAGACCAGCGAATCACTTGAGGTCAGGAGTTCGAGACCAGCCTGACCAATACAGTGAAACCCCATTTCTACTAAAAATACAAAATTAGCCCAGGTGTGGTGGCACACGTCTGTAATCCCAGCTATTTGGGAGGCTGAGGCAGGAGAATCACTTGAACCCAGGTGGCGGAGGTTGAGGTGAGCTGAGATCGCACCACTGCACTCCAGCCTGGGCGATAGAGCGAGACTCTGTTGCCAAAAAAAAAAAAGAGAGAGAAGGAATAACTTAAATAAATAAGGTATGCAACTGTTCTCATCTTCCAAAATTGCTACAAAAGACAAACTAAGAATTTCTTTTTCTTTTTTGGCCGGGTGTGGTGGCTCATGCCTGTTGTCCCAGCACTTTGGGAGGCCGAGCCGGGAGGATCACTTGAGGTCAAGAGTTTGAGACCAGCCTGGCCAACAAGGTGAAACCTCATCTCTATTAAAAATACAAAAATTAGCCAGGCATGGTGGCAGGCACCTGTAGTCCCAGCTACTCAGGAGGCCGAGGCAGAAGAATTGCTTGAACCCGGGACGCGGAGGTTGCGGTGAGCTGAGATTGCACCACTGCACCCCAGCCTGGGCGACAGAGCCACACTATGTCTCAAAAAAAAAAAAAATTTCTTTTTAAATTCCTATTCATTTTCTATGTTTTTCTATATATATATATATATATATATATATAGAAAAATATATATATTTATATAGAAAAATATACATTTATATATAGAAAAATATATATTTATATATAAATAAATACACATAAACATATATATATGTTTCTTTTTTTCTTTAATCTCCTCTGCTTATACCTTCTATCTGCCAGTAATACTGACAAACTGACAAGCAGTCCTCAGATATGCTAGTTAGATTCAGAATTCCCTAGCCTAGAACATATTCAAATATTAGCACTTTTAACCTCAAAGATTTTTGCAAACCTAACACGATAGCAGTTGTACTAATACGGTTTGTTGATTAAAATACAGACAAAAAACTAGTAGGCTGCAATAATGTTTTAAAACAAAGTTGTATTTTATTAATCACAATAGCATACCAGCATTTAAGTAAGTAGGAGCACATACTGAAATATATTATTTAGTTGGCCTATAGACAATGTTTGGTATGCATATGGATTGAAGACCCAAAAATTCCACAGCCAACTTAGGTATCCTCTGCTAGCGGACTGAAAACCAAAGTTGGGGCCTCAAATGTTGGTGTATAACAGAATCACCTGTCAAGCCCTCAGCACTAACCAAGTCTTGCCTGTAATTCAGCATTTGTCCAAGAGATGTCCCCACTCTTCTAACAGTCAAATGAAAGGAGCTACAGCGAAATAATACAAAAGCTAAGAATAAGCGGTCAAACAACAATGTGATTTGAGTACAAACAGAAAATACAATGCTTCATTGAAATCTTACTTTTTACCTCTCGGCTTTTGGGGGGGAGAATTATTTACCTGCCAGCTACAAAATCATGTTAATAAAGAAAACGTAAAACTAATTACAAATGTTACTACTAATAGCTACAAATGCCATTTTAATGCTATCTTATTTCATCAAATCTAAGATGCCACTGATTATAAGACACACCACTGTTGTACATGCTGAAAAGAAATAGTGGAAATGCCTCCAAATAAATCATGACACAAAACTTTATCATAAATTTAGGGTTTTGTTTGTTTGTTTTTGAGGCAGAGTGTCACTCTGCACGCTGGAGTGCAGTGGTGCAATCCTGGCTCACTGCAACCTCCGCCTCCTGGGTTGAAGCAATTACCATGTGCCAGCCTCACAAAGAGCTGGGATTACAGGCGTGCACCACCACACTCAGCTAATTTTTGTATTTTTAGTAGAGACAGGGTTTTGCCATATTGCCCAGGCTGGTCTCGAACTCCTGGCCTCAGGCGATCCGCCCGCCTTGGCCTCCCAAAGTGCTGGGATTACAGACGTGAGCCATTGCACCCGCCCTAGAATTTTTACTTAATACTGATTGCAAGAGTTAGTTTTTTTAAACTTATTTAAACAGAGTTTAATCACATACCATCATAAACTGTTTTCATAACTTTCTCCATACCGGGTAATTTTGTTTCAATGCTGATTCACAGAATATTTATGCAGAAACACTGAACAACAAAGTTAACATGGGAAATGCCAACAATGCTCATACCTCAGCTGAAATGATGACAAAATGAATGGACATGATTATATTTGTGAATACACGGGCAAACAAATATACCAGGACTGCTGCTTTGCTGATATAGACTGTTAACATGACACCAAGTGTTAACACTTAACTCAATTTCATTGTTAAAACAGGGAAAGTTGTGACTTTTAGAATTGATTAAATGTGGGCCGGGCGCGGTGGCTCACGCCTATAATCCCAGCATATTAGGAGGCCGAGGCGGGCGGATCACGAGGTCAGGAGTTCAAGACCAGCCTGACCAACATGGTGAAACCTCGTCTCTACTAAAAACAGAAAAATTAGCTGGGCCTGGTGATGGGTGCCTGTAATCCCAGCTACTCGGGAGGCTGAAGCAGGAGAATCGCTTGAACCCAGGGGGCGCAGGTTGCAGTGAGCCGAGATCGCACCATTGCACTCCAGCCTGGGCAACAGAGCGAGACTCCGTCTCAAAAAAAAAAAAAAAGAATTGATTAAATGCCACTTTTTTTTAAAAGATGGACAATAATTCAATAACTAATGAAATTTCTGGATACCCTAGCATTGCCAGCCCATAATTCTTTGTGCTGCTTCCTGATACGCTAGTGATATTCTGTACATCTCCAGCAATCATTTCAAGTCCCCATTCCCCTAATCTAGATTACAGCAGTTAAATTCCTTACTATACTCCCTTGTTCACTCTTCTCTCCTTCCTCCATTTATTCTCAGCACAACCAGAGTAAATTTTAAAAGCAAATCAGATTGTGTCACTCCCTTGATTCAACGGTGGAATGGTTTTCTCTCCCATTTTGAATAAAATGGTTGCATTATCTGCAAGGATCATAAAGGCAGGTACTTTTTCTCAAAGACAGCATGGATTTGTTTGCTGCTATATCCTTAGTGCTGTGCGCATGGTTGGTGTCCAGTAAATACGTGATAAGTGAATCTGACTCTGGCCACCTCTCCAATTTCGCATCTCATTAAGTCTTCCCCTTATACAGTATATTCTTGCCCTCCAGCCTCCCTCCTGTTTCCTCAAAACTCCTTCCTATGAGGTCTTTAAAACTGTTAATGCTTCTTCATGAAATTATTTTACTTGGCAAAGCTGGCTTCTTCTCTTCAGATCTCCACTGAAAGGGTACCTACTAAAGGACACTTACCCTGTTATAAAATCCCCTTCCCAACTTAATTAGCACTCCACCCAGAAAGTCTTTCTGAACAGTGCTGATGCACAGCATTCCATCCTTGTAAGATAAAAAAAGAAACAAATAATGAAGGAATCTATAAATAATAAAAATGGGGCTGGGTGCAGTAGCTTACGCCTGTAATCCCAGCACTCTGGGAGGCCGAGTCAGGCAGATCACCTGAGGTCAGGAGTTTGAGACCAGCCTGGCCAACATGGCGAAACCCCATCTCTACTAAAAATACAAAAATTAGCTTGTGCACGCCTGTTGTCCCAGCTACTCAGGAAGCTGAGGCAGGAGAATAGCTTGAACCCGGGAGGTGGAGGTTACAATGAGCCAAGATTGCGCCACTGCACTCCAGCCTGGGACAGAGCAAAGCTCTGTCACAAATGATAATAATAATAATAATAATAATAATAATAATAATAATAATAATAACAACAACAACAACAACAACAATAATAATAATAATGGGCCAGGCATAGGCATATTGCCTGTAATCTCAGCACTTTCAACAACAACAATAATAATAATAATGGGCCAGGCACAGGCATATTGCCTGTAATCTCAGCACTTTCAACAACAACAATAATAATAATAATGGGCCAGGCATAGGCATATTGCCTGTAATCTCAGCACTTTCAACAACAACAATAATAATAATAATGGGCCAGGCATAGGCATATTGCCTGTAATCTCAGCACTTTCAACAACAACAATAATAATAATAATGGGCCAGGCATAGGCATATTGCCTGTAATCTCAGCACTTTCAACAACAACAATAATAATAATAATGGGCCAGGCATAGGCATATTGCCTGTAATCTCAGCACTTTCAACAACAACAATAATAATAATAACGGGCCAGGCATAGGCATATTGCCTGTAATCTCAGCACTTTCAACAACAACAACAATAATAATAATGGGCCAGGCATAGGCATATTGCCTGTAATCTCAGCACTTTCAACAACAACAATAATAATAATAACGGGCCAGGCATAGGCATATTGCCTGTAATCTCAGCACTTTCAACAACAACAATAATAATAATAACGGGCCAGGCATAGGCATATTGCCTGTAATCTCAGCACTTTCAACAACAACAATAATAATAATAATGGGCCAGGCATAGGCATATTGCCTGTAATCTCAGCACTTTCAACAACAACAATAATAATAATAATGGGCCAGGCATAGGCATATTGCCTGTAATCTCAGCACTTTCAACAACAACAATAATAATAATAATGGGCCAGGCATAGGCATATTGCCTGTAATCTCAGCACTTTCAACAACAACAATAATAATAATAATGGGCCAGGCATAGGCATATTGCCTGTAATCTCAGCACTTTCAACAACAACAATAATAATAATAATGGGCCAGGCATAGGCATATTGCCTGTAATCTCAGCACTTTCAACAACAACAATAATAATAATAATGGGCCAGGCATAGGCATATTGCCTGTAATCTCAGCACTTTCAACAACAACAATAATAATAATAACGGGCCAGGCATAGGCATATTGCCTGTAATCTCAGCACTTTCAACAACAACAACAATAATAATAATGGGCCAGGCATAGGCATATTGCCTGTAATCTCAGCACTTTCAACAACAACAATAATAATAATAATGGGCCAGGCATAGGCATATTGCCTGTAATCTCAGCACTTTCAACAACAACAATAATAATAATAACGGGCCAGGCATAGGCATATTGCCTGTAATCTCAGCACTTTCAACAACAACAATAATAATAATAACGGGCCAGGCATAGGCATATTGCCTGTAATCTCAGCACTTTCAACAACAACAATAATAATAATAACGGGCCAGGCATAGGCATATTGCCTGTAATCTCAGCACTTTCAACAACAACAATAATAATAATAATGGGCCAGGCATAGGCATATTGCCTGTAATCTCAGCACTTTCAACAACAACAATAATAATAATAATGGGCCAGGCATAGGCATATTGCCTGTAATCTCAGCACTTTCAACAACAACAATAATAATAATAATGGGCCAGGCATAGGCATATTGCCTGTAATCTCAGCACTTTCAACAACAACAATAATAATAATAATGGGCCAGGCATAGGCATATTGCCTGTAATCTCAGCACTTTCAACAACAACAATAATAATAATAATGGGCCAGGCATAGGCATATTGCCTGTAATCTCAGCACTTTCAACAACAACAATAATAATAATAATAATGGGCCAGGCATAGGCATATTGCCTGTAATCTCAGCACTTTCAACAACAACAATAATAATAATAATGGGCCAGGCATAGGCATATTGCCTGTAATCTCAGCACTTTCAACAACAACAATAATAATAATAATGGGCCAGGCATAGGCATATTGCCTGTAATCTCAGCACTTTCAACAACAACAATAATAATAATAACGGGCCAGGCATAGGCATATTGCCTGTAATCTCAGCACTTTCAACAACAACAATAATAATAATAACGGGCCAGGCATAGGCATATTGCCTGTAATCTCAGCACTTTCAACAACAACAATAATAATAATAACGGGCCAGGCATAGGCATATTGCCTGTAATCTCAGCACTTTCAACAACAACAATAATAATAATAACGGGCCAGGCATAGGCATATTGCCTGTAATCTCAGCACTTTCAACAACAACAATAATAATAATAACGGGCCAGGCATAGGCATATTGCCTGTAATCTCAGCACTTTCAACAACAACAATAATAATAATAACGGGCCAGGCATAGGCATATTGCCTGTAATCTCAGCACTTTCAACAACAACAATAATAATAATAACGGGCCAGGCATAGGCATATTGCCTGTAATCTCAGCACTTTCAACAACAACAATAATAATAATAATGGGCCAGGCATAGGCATATTGCCTGTAATCTCAGCACTTTCAACAACAACAATAATAATAATAATGGGCCAGGCATAGGCATATTGCCTGTAATCTCAGCACTTTCAACAACAACAATAATAATAATAATGGGCCAGGCATAGGCATATTGCCTGTAATCTCAGCACTTTCAACAACAACAATAATAATAATAATGGGCCAGGCATAGGCATATTGCCTGTAATCTCAGCACTTTCAACAACAACAATAATAATAATAATGGGCCAGGCATAGGCATATTGCCTGTAATCTCAGCACTTTCAACAACAACAATAATAATAATAATGGGCCAGGCATAGGCATATTGCCTGTAATCTCAGCACTTTCAACAACAACAACAATAATAATAACGGGCCAGGCATAGGCATATTGCCTGTAATCTCAGCACTTTCAACAACAACAACAATAATAATAATGGGCCAGGCATAGGCATATTGCCTGTAATCTCAGCACTTTCAACAACAACAATAATAATAATAACGGGCCAGGCATAGGCATATTGCCTGTAATCTCAGCACTTTCAACAACAACAATAATAATAATAACGGGCCAGGCATAGGCATATTGCCTGTAATCTCAGCACTTTCAACAACAACAACAATAATAATAATAATGGGCCAGGCATAGGCATATTGCCTGTAATCTCAGCACTTTCAACAACAACAATAATAATAATAATGGGCCAGGCATAGGCATATTGCCTGTAATCTCAGCACTTTCAACAACAACAATAATAATAATAATGGGCCAGGCATAGGCATATTGCCTGTAATCTCAGCACTTTCAACAACAACAATAATAATAATAATGGGCCAGGCATAGGCATATTGCCTGTAATCTCAGCACTTTCAACAACAACAATAATAATAATAACGGGCCAGGCATAGGCATATTGCCTGTAATCTCAGCACTTTCAACAACAACAACAATAATAATAATGGGCCAGGCATAGGCATATTGCCTGTAATCTCAGCACTTTCAACAACAACAATAATAATAATAACGGGCCAGGCATAGGCATATTGCCTGTAATCTCAGCACTTTCAACAACAACAATAATAATAATAACGGGCCAGGCATAGGCATATTGCCTGTAATCTCAGCACTTTCAACAACAACAATAATAATAATAATGGGCCAGGCATAGGCATATTGCCTGTAATCTCAGCACTTTCAACAACAACAATAATAATAATAATGGGCCAGGCATAGGCATATTGCCTGTAATCTCAGCACTTTCAACAACAACAATAATAATAATAATGGGCCAGGCATAGGCATATTGCCTGTAATCTCAGCACTTTCAACAACAACAATAATAATAATAATGGGCCAGGCATAGGCATATTGCCTGTAATCTCAGCACTTTCAACAACAACAATAATAATAATAATGGGCCAGGCATAGGCATATTGCCTGTAATCTCAGCACTTTCAACAACAACAATAATAATAATAATAATGGGCCAGGCATAGGCATATTGCCTGTAATCTCAGCACTTTCAACAACAACAATAATAATAATAATGGGCCAGGCATAGGCATATTGCCTGTAATCTCAGCACTTTCAACAACAACAATAATAATAATAATGGGCCAGGCATAGGCATATTGCCTGTAATCTCAGCACTTTCAACAACAACAATAATAATAATAATGGGCCAGGCATAGGCATATTGCCTGTAATCTCAGCACTTTCAACAACAACAATAATAATAATAATGGGCCAGGCATAGGCATATTGCCTGTAATCTCAGCACTTTCAACAACAACAATAATAATAATAATGGGCCAGGCATAGGCATATTGCCTGTAATCTCAGCACTTTCAACAACAACAATAATAATAATAACGGGCCAGGCATAGGCATATTGCCTGTAATCTCAGCACTTTCAACAACAACAATAATAATAATAATGGGCCAGGCATAGGCATATTGCCTGTAATCTCAGCACTTTCAACAACAACAATAATAATAATAACGGGCCAGGCATAGGCATATTGCCTGTAATCTCAGCACTTTCAACAACAACAATAATAATAATAACGGGCCAGGCATAGGCATATTGCCTGTAATCTCAGCACTTTCAACAACAACAATAATAATAATAACGGGCCAGGCATAGGCATATTGCCTGTAATCTCAGCACTTTCAACAACAACAATAATAATAATAATGGGCCAGGCATAGGCATATTGCCTGTAATCTCAGCACTTTCAACAACAACAATAATAATAATAATGGGCCAGGCATAGGCATATTGCCTGTAATCTCAGCACTTTCAACAACAACAATAATAATAATAATGGGCCAGGCATAGGCATATTGCCTGTAATCTCAGCACTTTCAACAACAACAATAATAATAATAATGGGCCAGGCATAGGCATATTGCCTGTAATCTCAGCACTTTCAACAACAACAATAATAATAATAATGGGCCAGGCATAGGCATATTGCCTGTAATCTCAGCACTTTCAACAACAACAATAATAATAATAATGGGCCAGGCATAGGCATATTGCCTGTAATCTCAGCACTTTCAACAACAACAACAATAATAATAATAATGGGCCAGGCATAGGCATATTGCCTGTAATCTCAGCACTTTCAACAACAACAACAATAATAATAATAATGGGCCAGGCATAGGCATATTGCCTGTAATCTCAGCACTTTCAACAACAACAAACAACAATAATAATAATGGGCCAGGCATAGGCATATTGCCTGTAATCTCAGCACTTTCAACAACAACAACAATAATAATAATAATGGGCCAGGCATAGGCATATTGCCTGTAATCTCAGCACTTTCAACAACAACAACAATAATAATAATAACGGGCCAGGCATAGGCATATTGCCTGTAATCTCAGCACTTTCAACAACAACAACAATAATAATAATAATAATGGGCCAGGCATAGGCATATTGCCTGTAATCTCAGCACTTTCAACAACAACAATAATAATAATAATGGGCCAGGCATAGGCATATTGCCTGTAATCTCAGCACTTTCAACAACAACAACAATAATAATAATAATGGGCCAGGCATAGGCATATTGCCTGTAATCTCAGCACTTTCAACAACAACAACAATAATAATAATAACGGGCCAGGCATAGGCATATTGCCTGTAATCGCAGCACTTTCAACAACAACAATAATAATAATAATGGGCCAGGCATAGGCATATTGCCTGTAATCTCAGCACTTTCAACAACAACAACAATAATAATAATAATGGGCCAGGCATAGGCATATTGCCTGTAATCTCAGCACTTTCAACAACAACAACAATAATAATAATAATGGGCCAGGCATAGGCATATTGCCTGTAATCTCAGCACTTTCAACAACAACAACAACAATAATAATAATGGGCCAGGCATAGGCATATTGCCTGTAATGTCAGCACTTTCAGAAGCCAAGGAGGGAGGATTGCTTGAGGCCAGGAGTTCAAGACCAGCCTAGGCAACATAGGGAGACTCTGTCTCTACAAAATTTTTTTTTTAATTTAAAAATTAACAATGCATGGTGGCATGCACCTGTAGACCTACCTACTAGGGAGGCTAAGGCAGAAGGCTCACCTAAGCCCAGGATTTCAAGGCTGCAGTGAGCCATGATCATGCCACTGCACTCCAGCCTGAGTGACAGAGTGAGACCCTATCTCTAAAAATAAAAACAATAAAAATTTAAAATAAAAAAAAAATGACTGGAAGCATATACATAAGTTAATAATTACTACTAGGTAACAATACTTTGAGTTATAAGTTTTTGTTAATCTATTTCCCAATTTTACTACAATGGATTTCCAGTGTAATAACATCATGTTTTTAAAAAACAATGATGTTCTACTTCAAAAATAAAAATGCCCTCACTGTTAAAAAAGATTTCAGACTTTTTACAAAAGGAAAAATTATAGAACAACCTACAAATTTAGAAGTATTTTTAAAAATTATTATTTTGCTGCTTTGGGAATACGCCATTTTTTAAACCTCCTTCCTCACATTTTATTTAAAAAGGAATTATTCAGACTCATACTAACACAGATTAGGGATTTATTTTCCCCTGCCCAAAAGTGAAAATTACCTGAAGTCCAACTATATATAGAAAAGTTATTATGGCTATTAATTTTTTAATTCAATATAAGATGGTTTCTTCCTTTACGCCTTCTTAAAATGATACATTATTTAGAAAAGTAAAAAATTATCAGTAGTCACCTAGGTCAGCTAAAAATAAGTAACACTGTGTCTCTACATCACTCTCTCCAGCTATGCCTCCATGGCAGCCAATGATTTTTATCACGTATCTTTTACAGCAAGGCAACAGTTTCCATGGAAACCACAGGGCAAATATCCATTATTGCTGCCAAGGACTTTTATAAGCACACATAAGCTGAGATAACCGCTTACTCTCTTTTACTAATATTTTTAAATTAAGCAATGGTTAGCTATTCTGATTCTGGTTTTGTTGTGTTTGTTGTCTCTATGAACAGATCTAGAGATGAGTGAAAAATCAAGGAATTTTTTACCCCTTTAGCAACAAATGAACTCTCAAAATCAGGGGAGCAGGAGAGAAAAGACCCAGAAAGTCACTGAGCCAGCATACATACCAGACAATGTCATCCCATACAACAGGGCAAATCAGAACAGAAATCAGTGACGCACTTAAATACAAAGGATGAAATTCTCTTCCACCAGCACGGCAGAGCACGTAGATTCACTGGGGCCAAGATGCTGATTAATCAGTGAAAAAAAAGATAACCAACAAATCATAAAACTAAAAAAGTAGTCACATACCTCTCTCAACATACTGTTCTCTTTTTCCTTCTGCTCCAAAAGGCTTTCTAGGTGATGAACGTGCATCTCTGCCTCTGCCAGTCGTCTTGTTCTCTCATGGTCTTCCTCGGTAGCCTTGGCAGAAAGTCCTTTGCTCTGCAACATTTCCAGAAGCTTCTTAATGGATTCATCCCGAGCATTTAGGGTCTGCTTTTGAGTCTCAATACGCAGCTCCATTTCCTCCAATGTCTTTCGAAGAAGAAACAGCTCTTTGGCCTGCCGCTCATGCTCAGCATGAAGCCTCTGAAAGTTCTCCTCTGTCAGCTCTGCTACACAAGGTTCGCCAGTCCTGCTGCTACTATCCTGCTGAAACAGCTGATTCAGGTCCCTCTGGATCCGCAATTCATCCTGGAGAGCCTGGATTGTCATCTGCATGTGCTAGAACCAAGACAAAAAGAAAACCCCCAAATCAGCTTTCCTCCTCAAGTAGCAAATCAGAGCAGCCTGCAGGAATCAAAAATAGCTACAAGAAATCTGCATCTAGCAAATTAGGATTCACCTTATTCTGTTTTACAGGTCCTTAAAAAATGATTGAGATAATATGCAAAATGTCAGTAATTTAACTTCAGTTTATTCTCAACAGGAAGCAAAATAAGTATGGCACTCACTCCTCACTTTGCATAAACTACAATAAAGACACTGTTCAAAATTAATAGAAGATATTAACACGGAAACTAAATTTGAGGGAATGTGGGAAATGGGAAATCTACAGGAATATGAATACATTCTTTCAAAAAATTTCATCAAAACAGCCGGGCGTGGTGGCTCACACCTGTGTAATTCCAGCACTTTGGGAGGCCAAGGTGGGCAAATCAGCTGAGGTCAGGAGTTCAAGACCAGTCTGACCAATATGATGAAACCCTGTCTCTACTAAAATACAAAAGTTAGCCGGGCGTGGTGGCGTGTGCCTGTAATCTGAGCTACTCGGGAGGCTGAGACAGGAGAATCGCTTGAACTTGAGAGGTGGGAATTGCAGTGAGCCAAGACTGCACTCATTGCACTCCAGCCTGGGCAACAAGAGTGAAACTCTGTCTTAAAAAAAAAAAAAAAAAAAAAATTTTTTTTTTTCATCAAAAAATACAAAGGATGGCCAGGCGCGGGGGCTCACACCTATAATCCCAGCACTTTGGGAGGCCGAGGCAGGCGGATCACCAGGAGTTCAAGACCAGCCTGGCCAACATGATAAAACCCCATCTCTACTAAAAATACAAAAATTGGCCAGGCACGGTGGTTCACGCCTGTAATCCTAGCACTTTGGGAGGCCGAGTCGGGCACATCACGAGGTCAGGAGTTCAAGACCAGCCTGGCCAACGTGGTAAAACCCCGTCTCCACTAAAAATAGAAAAATTAGCCAGGCATGGTGGCACGAACCTGTAATCCCAGCTACTCAGGAGGCTGAGGCAGAAGAATTGCTTGAACTGGGAGGTGGAGTTTGCAGTAAGCCAAGATCACACCACTGCACTCCAGCCTGGGTGACAGAGCAAGGCTCCGTGTCAAAACAAACAAACAAACAAGCAAAACCGAAGGACAGCGAAATACAAAATGACTTTTAAGTATTATAAACATTAAATAATAAATATTAACATTTAACAAGTAGTTTGTATATGCCAGATTGTACCACACATTTTTTATGTTATTTAATCTTCATTATGACACATGGACTCTTTTTTTATTTTACTGTAGTAAAAACCCTTAACATGACATCTACTTTCCTAACAACTTTTAAGTGTACAATGCATTACTGCTGACTACAGGTACAATGTTATACATCAAATCTGTAGAGTTTATTCATCTCAACCAAAAGTTTATATTCCTGTTGATTAGTAACTCTCCATTTCCCCCTACCCCCGGCAACTACCATTACACACTTTGATTCTGTGAATTTGACTATTTTAGATACCCAACACATGTACTATTATTTAATTTTATAAATGAGGGCACGAGGCTTAGAGAGGTTTAAGCACTTGTCCAAGATCACAGAGTAAGTGATAGAGCTGGCATTCAAAGCAATCCTTGCAGCCCACTAAAACTAGAACCAAGAAAAAAAGAAAACTCCAAATCAGCTTTCCTCCTCTAGTAGCAAAAACAGAGCAGATTGCAGAAATCAAAACTGGTAATACCCAAAGATAATAATATAGCAAAGTTTTTTTAAGTTAGAATATGCAAAGCTTTTTATACAGGGGACGGTAACAACATGGGTGGCTAATTAAATAAAGGTGTTAATGCAGATGAACTACTAAAATGTTTGAGAGGGTAGATCTTTAGCTTCTATCCCTAAAGAAGGTACACGAACCTTTAATCTGAATGGTTATGTAAATTCCAGCACATTATACAATGAATTCCAAAAGGCTGTGACATCAAAAATCTTATTTTTAGGAATGAAGAAGCAACAATAAAAGATCATTCCTTGTATTCAAGGCCTAAGCAGTGTACCATACTGGGAAGAACACGAAACTGTGATGAGAAAACATGAGTTTCAGTTCTGACTCTCACGCTGACTAGTTATGACATTTAGACATGTCACCATCTTTCTGGGTTTCAGATCCCTCATACTTTAAATAAGGGTATAAATACCTGCATTATCCATTGAAAAAATCTTTTTTTTTTTTTGGAAATAAGGTGGCTGCTCTATTAGTTCGTTTTCACGCTGCTGATAAAGACATACCCAAAACTGGAAACAAAAAGAGGTTTAATTGGACTTACAGATCCACGTGGCTAAGGAAGCCTCAGAATCACGGTATGAGGCAAAAGGCACTTGTTTAATTGGACTTACAGTTCCACATGGCTGAGGAAGCCTCAGAATCACGGTATGAGGCAAAAGGCACTTCTTACATGGCGGCAGCAAGAGAAAATCAGGAAGAAGCAAAAGCGGAACCCCCTGATAAACCCATCAGATCTCGTGAGACTTACTCACTATCACGAGAATAGCATGGGAAAGACTGGCCCCCATGATTCAATTACCTCCTCCTATGGCCCTCCCACAACATGTGGGAATTCTGAGAGATACAATTCCAGTTGAGATTTGAATGGAGACACAGCCAAACCATATCACCTGCTAATGATTTTCAGCCTTAAAAAGGAAAGAAATTCTTACACATGCTACAACACAGATGAACCTTCAAGACGTTGTGCTAAGTGAAATAAGCCAATCACAAAAAGACAAACACTATATGTATCCATTGACATGAGGTATCTAGAGCAGTCGAATTGATAAAGAAGGAACTAGAACAGTGGTTGCCAGGACATAGGAGTGGGACAGAACGAGGAGTTATTGTTTAATGGGTATACAGTTTCAGTCTGTCAAGATGAAAAGAGTTCTGGAGATAGATGGGATATACTGAATGCCACTAAACTGTACACTTCGAAATGGTTAAGATGGTAAATTTTATGTTATATATATTTTACCATAATAAAAAAATTGGTTGGAGAGAAGATGTTGGTCATAAAATTCCACTTACGGATATTTTAGGTTAGTTCTCATTTTTCACTATTGTAAGATGCACCTTCACATATGTATCTTTACACATGAATCCACATTTTTCTTGGGAACTCTCAAAGATGGAATTGCTGGATCACAAAGTATGTACAATTGTAATTCTGATACATATTACAAATCATTTCTATATGTATCTTTGTATATCAACTTTTGTCATATTACAAATCATTTCTATCTGTATCTCTGTATATCGACTTTTGTCATATTACAAATCATTTCTATCTGTATCTCTGTATATCGACTTTTGTCATATTACAAATCATTTCTATCTGTATCTCTGTATATCGACTTTTGTCATATTACAAATCATTTCTGTCTATATCTCTGTATATCGACTTTTGTCATATTACAAATCATTTCTATCTGTATCTCTGTATATCGACTTTTGTCATATTACAAATCATTTCTATCTGTATCTCTGTATATCGACTTTTGTCATATTACAAATCATTTCTATCTGTATCTCTGTATATCGACTTTTGTCATATTACAAATCATTTCTATCTGTATCTCTGTATATCGACTTTTGTCATATTACAAATCATTTCTATCTGTATCTCTGTATATCGACTTTTGTCATATTACAAATCATTTCTATCTGTATCTCTGTATATCGACTTTTGTCATATTACAAATCATTTCTATCTGTATCTCTGTATATCGACTTTTGTCATATTACAAATCATTTCTATCTGTATCTCTGTATATCGACTTTTGTCATATTACAAATCATTACTATATGTATCTCTGTATATCGACTTGTCGTATTACAAATCATTTCTATCTGTATCTCTGTATATCGACTTTTGTCTTATTACAAATCATTTCTATCTGTATCTCTGTATATCGACTTTTGTCATATTACAAATCATTTCTATCTGTATCTCTGTATATCGACTTTTGTCATATTACAAATCATTTCTATATGTATCTCTGTATATCGACTTTTGTCATATTACAAATCATTTCTATATGTATCTCTGTATATCGACTTGTCATATTACAAATCATTTCTATCTGTATCTCTGTATATCGACTTGTCATATTACAAATCATTTCTATCTGTATCTTTGTATATTGACTTTTGTCATATTACAAATCATTTCTATCTGTATCTTTGTATATCGACTTTTGTCATATTACAAATCATTTCTATATGTATCTTTGTATATCGACTTTTGTCATATTACAAATCATTTCTATCTGTGTCTTTGTATATCAACTTTTGTGACTCCTCTCTCCTTGTTCTTTGCCCATTTTGTTATTGAACATTTTTTCTTAATCCATTTTAAGAGCTCTTCATATTAGGAAAATAACCTTTCACCTGCTGTGTATGTTACAAATATTTTTCCAAGTCTGCCATTTTTCTTTTTAACATTGTTTATGATGACTTTTAATAGATATTTTCTTTTTTAATACAAAGACAATGACATTTTCCTTTATCATTTCCGGTTTGGGTATTATGCTTTTAGCAAGCAGTGAGCTTTCAATTCTGGTAGTCTTCAAACACTTGAAAAGCACTGCTATTTCTTTCGAAGAATAAACTCACCAAAAAAAAAAAAAATCAGGAATTTAAATTCATGAATATAAATTTTAAAATGCATTTCACTACCAGCATGATCTTTTAAAGATTAACAGTTGCTGGAGTTCAAAAGACCTTCAATAAAAAGATGTATCAAAATGCTAATTCTCTGAAGCCTAGTTTCTTTCCCTTGGAAGTCAAAAAAAATCCTGACACTCCTGAGTGAATATATCCCAAAGGGAAATACCAGAAGTGAAATTCAACAGGGAAGCTGATTTCTAGGTATGACTGTTCCTCCTTTTCTGACCATTCGTCATCAATTCATTCAAGTCAGGAGAAATATATGTTGGCTACAGTTAACAGTTTCACATACGCTTTGGCACATATGGCTAAATGTAGCATGGCAATTACTATTTTGGTAAAGAAAGAAAACATTAACTACTAGTGTGTCTGGTTCTTCAGCTCCGCCTGCACCCATTTTACTATAGTATAAAAATAAAACAATGCTCTGACTTGGTAGCCTAGAAGTCTATACAGCAGTTTTCTCCACTAAAATATAAACCAACATTTCCTCTTTTGGCTACAATCAGGCTAGCTTTATTTTATAAAAATTCCTGCCAACTCCTTTAGAAGAAGGAAAAAAGCAGACTACAAGCAAGGCTACTCTTTCTCCAGCATATTCATACAGAAGATAAAATGGGCATATTCACACATCACAGACATCTATAATGATCAACCAAAAACAGATACATTGAGTTTAAGGAAAGATCGAGTTGTAAGATAATACTAGAATGTCTATTTGGGAAGTCTGTTCCCGACACACTGCAAAATGATCTCACACTCCAAATTTTATAGCAACACTCACTAGTCTACTTCTCACTCTAACACTCAGCTTGATTTTGAAAGGCTGGGAAAGTATTTGTCTAAAATTTACTCCAGGGACTGTACTATTATTACACCAAGCTATATCTCAATGAAATGGTAGGATATTGTGAACAACAATAATGAAAATTCTTAACTATCTGACAGGGCCTATGACTTTTATTACAACAATTAGATATCTGCAAAAACAATGACAGATCACAACTACTATTCATATATTTTAGATAAATATCAGAAGCTCTTCTGAGGCAGAACTTCCAACAAATAAACTGTCATTAGTTTCTTAGAACAAGAGTACACTTTGATCCCGTTTATTCTCACTCCTAAAATAACAGAACTATGTAGTCTAGAGATATTTTTAGAGAAAAAAAATTATGGACACGTGAAATGGTCATGATTACAAACAAAATATATCACAGAACTCAGTACACTGTTTATCAAGAAGATCAGAGTCAGAGAAAACACCAGTATTGTACCCTTTTACAAATGTTAAATTAAGAACATTTTTTTCTGAAACATATAAATACATGTATTAAATAAACTTTATTAATGTAACATGCAAAAGAGTTTTAAAGAATTCTTAAGTCAACCAAGTCAAGCTTCCGGTTTGGTTGGGCTATCTGATGTTCCCGTCTGTGCTGCCCAGGGCTGTATGCTTATCCACAGAACAGCACTTCTAAGACTGATCTGCAATTTAATTCTTTGTATTTATCATCAATAAACTTTCTAGGACTTAGGAATGTCATCTTTTTACCCTGTCATAAATTTTTTATGAAAAACTGACAAAAATTAAACGTTGAGAAATTATGTTGAAAGTAAATGGCTACTGTATATTAGCCGCATTGCAAGTATCTGGGAAGTTATACCTCTTCCTTAAAAAAATAATGCAGCCAATTACTCTTATTCTAAAAAAATCACTCATGCCTATAATCCCAGCACTTTGGGAAGCCAAGGCAGGCGGATCACAAGGTCAGGAGTTCAAGATCAGCCTGACCACCATGGTGAAACCCCGTTTCTACCAAAAATACAGGAATTAGCCAGGCATGGTGGTGCACGCCTGTAATCCCAGCTACTCAGGGGGCTGAGGCAGGAGAATTGCTAGAACCGGGGAGGCAGAGGTTGCAGTGAGCTGAGATCCTGCCACTGCACTCCAGCCTGGGCGACAGAGTGAGACTCCATCTCCAAAAAAAAAAAAAAAGAAAAAGAAAAAAAAAAATCAGTTCTACACCAACCAATACAAGTAATTCTTAAATCCAAACTGGCCAAAATACAAACCACAGTCCTAATAAAAATGTTAATTATATGCTCTAGGTTTATTTAATATTTGACCTGAAGCAAAAAGAAGCATTTTCAGATAATCAACAGTCAACAAGAATCTTTCATAGTTGTACTATACAAAGCACAGCAAAAGTACAGGATAAAGTTCTTATCCAAAAATAAAGCTCACAAATGGGTAAAACATAAGAGTTATAACCTATTACAAATTTTAAATTAACAACAATATTCAAGAAAGACAAAAGGAACACAGATAAAGCATTTATTTTACATGCAATATATTCAAATGAAGCTTAGAACCTATAAGATCACTATGAGCTAAACGCATAAAACTTTAATATATCTCTATGAAAACAAAGTACAGTTGACCCTTGTACCACACAGGTTTGAACTTTGAGGGTCTGCTGACACATGGATTTTCTTCTGCCTCTGCCAAATCTGAGACAGCAATACCAATCCCTTTTCTTCTTCCTCTTCCTCAGCCTACTCAAAACAAAAATGATGAGGATGAAGATCTTCGTGATGGTCCACTTCTACTTAATGAATAGTAAGTGTATTTTCTCTTCCTTGTGATTTTCTTTTTTTTTCTTTTCCCCCTGAGACAGTCTTGCTCTGTTTCCAAGAGATGGAGTGCAATGGAGTGTACTTTTGTTGCCCAGGCTGGAGTGCAATGGCACAATCTCAGCTCACTGCAACCTCCGCCTCCCAGGTTCAAACGATTCTCCTGCCTCTGCCTCCAGAGTAGCAGGGATTACAGGTGAGCACCACCACGCCTGGCTAATGTTTGTATTTTTAGTAGAGACGGGGTTTCACCATATTGGCCGGGATGGTCTTGATCTCTTAACCGTGTGATCCACCAGCCTCGGCCTCCCAAAGAGCTGGGATTACAGGCATGAGGCACCACACCCAGACAATTTTCTTAATAACATTTTCTTTTCTCTAGCTTGCTTTAAAGAATGCAGTATATACATAAAATACATGTTAACATATAACATACAAAATATGTGTTAATCAACTATGTTATCAGGCCCCTGGTCAACAGTAGGCTATTAATAGTTAAATTTGGGGGGTGTCAAAACTTATACACAGATATAACCCCACTTTGTACAAACGTCAACTGAATTCTAATTTCCATAATTTTAAAAGAAGAAACATTTTAAAAGAAGAAACTAATTTAATGAGTCTGAACCACAGAGAATGAGACAGGGGAAGAGCCTCCAAGGTAATTTACTCCTCCTTATTGTTAGTTTAGTATTCTTTGAGTTAATGACAGAGATTTATTTCCTGTACAGCAAAGCACACTGAAAGCCCTCAAATATTAAACCAAATCAAAGTTTTCAGACTAATCTAAACACAAGCAGGAGACTCACCAAAATGCAAAAAAGACCCGCACTAGAACTCAAATGGATGGATTAAATTGTTTAACATTCTCACCCATTATTTGGAGCTTACTAACCAAAGTTATTTTCCTCTAAAAAAAGATGTCAGAGTCAAGAAAATGAATGAGCAATTACACTAGAATTCTAACAACTACTCTCTGCCTCTGAATCCAGGAAAAATAAGATCATCTATCTTTTTGCTCTGCGAATGCTGTACATAAATCTAAGTAGCAAGATAATGGCTGGAAAACATCAAAATTTGGACAACAGGTTTATTTCAGCAATAAACATAATCCATCTTTATGCTACCACAACCCAGAATAGAAGTTAAAGAATAAATGAAAATGTGGTCGGGTGCAGTGGCTCATGCCTGTAATCCCAGCACTCTGGGAGGCCAAAGTGGGTAGATCACTTGGGGTGGGGGAGTTTGAGACCAGTTTGACCAACATGGTGAAACCCCATCTCTAAAACTACGAACCTTAGCTGGACATGGTGGCATCCTATAATCCCAGCTATTCGGGAGGCTGAGGCAGGAAAATCGCTTGCACCCAGGAGTTGGAGGATGCCAAGATCACGCCACTGCACTCCAGCCTGGGTGACAGAGCAAAGCTCTGTCTCGGAAAAAAAAGAAAAAGGAATAAATGAAAACACTATCAAAATGGGTAAGTCCTACTGTCATAAATGCATTCTATATACACCACATGACGTTTCAGTCAACAAGAGACTGCATGTATCATGGTGGTCCCATAACATTACAATGGAGCTAAAAAATTCCTATCACAGGCCAGGCATGGTGGCTCACACCTGTAATCCCAGCACTTTGGAAGGCAGAGGCGGGCAGATCACGAGGTCAAGAGATCAAGACCATCCTGGCCATCATGGTGAAAGCCCGTCTCTACTAAAAATGCAAAAATTAGCTGGGTGTAGTGGTGCGTGCCTGTAATCCCAGCTACTCAGGAGGCTAAGGCAGGAGAATCGCTTACCCGGGAGGCGGAGGTTGCAGTGAGCGGAGATCATGCCACTGCACTCCAGCCTAGCGACACAGCAAGACTCCGTCTCGGGTGGGAGGGTGGGGAATTCCTATCACATTGTCATAGCCATCATAATGTTGTAACACATGCCTTACCCATGTGTTTGCAATGATGTTAGTGTAAATAAACCTAATGCGTTGACAGTCATATAAAAGTGTGGTACATACAATTATATACAGTACATAATACTTGATAATGATAATAAATGACTATGTTACGGGTTTTTGTTGTTAGCTGTTTTTATTTCCAAGTCCCTTCTGTTTTGAGACGGAGTCTCGCTCTGTCGCCCAGGCTGGAATGCAGTGGTGTGATCTCGGCTCACTGCAACCTCCGCCTTCAGAGTTCAAGCCATTCTCGTGCCTCAGCCTCCCAAGTGGCTGGGATTACAGGTGTACGCCACCACCCCCTAATTTTTGTATTTTTAGTAGAGATGGAGTTTTGCCATGCTGGCCAGGCTGGTCTCAAACTCCTGACCTCAGGTTATCCGCCCACCTCGGTGCTGGATTCAGGTATGAGGCACCTCATCTCCTAGACAGTAGCATTTTATTGGTCTTATATCTTGTGTATATTTTCCACACATTGCTGAAAGAAACATTTTTTTAAATTTTTTTTTGAGAAGGAGTCTTGCTCTGTCGCTAGGCTGGAGTGCAGTGGCGTGATCTCGGCTCACTGCAACCTCCGTCTTCTGGGTTCAAGCCATTCTCCTGCCTCAGCCTCCCAAGTAGCTGGGACTACAAGTGCACAGCCACCATGCCTAGCTAATTTTTGTATTTTTAGTAGAGACGAGGTTTCACCATATTGGCCAGGATGGTCTCGATCTCTTGACCTCATGATCTACCCGCTTCAGCCTCCCAAAGTGCTGGGATTACAGGCATGAGCCACCGCACCTGGCCTGAAAATTTATTTTTAAAGTATTTATTGGCTGGACACAGTGGCTCACGCCTGTAATCCCAGCACTTAGGGAGGGCAAGGCACGCAGATCATGTGAGGTCAGGAGTTAGAGACCAGCATAGCCAACATGGTAAAACCCCATCTCTACTAAAAATACAAAAATTAGCTGGGCATGGTGGTGCATGCCTGTAATCCCAGCTACTAGGGAAGGTGAGGCACGAGAACTGCTTGAACCCAGGAAGCAGAGCTTGCAGTGAGCCGAGATCGCACCACTGCACTCCAGCCAGGGTGACAGTGCGAGACTCTGTCTCAAAAATAAAAGTAAAAATTAAAATTAAAACACAGAAAGGACTTGGAAATAAAAACAACAACAAAAATGATAAAACTTGCATAGAGAAGACCATACATTTTTCTTGAAGCAAAACACTGCAGTATAAATATAAACATTTGTACACAAACCCTTAATATTTTCCATGACAATCATCAAATAAGATGCGTCTGAGACTCTTTTGCACATGTGTTTGTAAAGACATTAAGCAGATAAAAGAGCTCAAGAAAATTAATGAAGAAAATTTTTGAGAAATTAATGCAGAGAAAGGCAATCAATGTAGGTAGTAAACATTACAAAAGATTACTTCATGTTTTCGTATTTGAAAGGAAAATAAATTTGCTCTTCCTTCATAAATTTTCCTTCATATTTAAAAGGAAAATAAATTTGCTTCCTTGGTTATCTGCCAATTCTATCACACAAACCCCAATAAATATATTTGTTGGCATTATTTCCAGACAGACATTTAATTCCTGCATGCATACTGCAGAGCTTTCACACACCAAGTTATATTTGCAATTCAAATGCTTAGGTCTACGATCACAAAAGCTTTCATATCACTTCAGCTGACTTTACACTTTTTTTTTTTTTTTTTTTGAGACAGAGTCTTGCTCTGCTGCCCAGGCTGGAGTGTAGTGGCGCAATCTTGGCTCATTGCAACCTCCACCTCCCAGGTTCAAGCGATTCTCATACCTCAGCCTCTCAAGTAGCCGAGATTACAGGTGCCCGCCACCAAGCCTAGCTAGTTTTTGTATTTTTAGTAGAGACAGGGTTTCGCCATGTTGGCCAGGCTGGTCTCAAACTCCTGACCTCAGGTGATCTGCCAGCCTCGGCCTCCCAAAGTGCTGGGATTAAAGGTGTGAGCCACTGTGCCCAGCCTCAGACTTTATACTTTTAAGGGAAAGATATTTGGATGGTTATCTTAGGAAGTACTAATGATAAAACTTTAAATTCACAAATTAGACTTCAAAATTTTTAATTTCTGCTTATCAAAAGAGAACATTGTATCATATGGAAAGAGTGATGAGGAAAAATTTTAAAAAGAAAGAGACCACTATAAAAATAAAATTGGCATGCCACATATAACTGTTAAAGGACTTGTATCCAGAATATATAAACTACTTCTACAACTCAATTAAAAAAAAAAACTTTTTAAAAGTGGGTAGAAGACTTAGATACTTCAAAAAGAAAAATACATTCCTGGGGAAGATGAACGTTCTTCTAAGGACAATAAGCAACTGAACTAACTAACCAATAAGCAAACGAAAAAGTGACTAGTATCTTTAGAAACTGGGGAAATGCAAATCAAAACCACAATAAGATATCACTACACACCCACTAGAATGGCTAAAATTTAGACAATTAACAATACCAAATGCTGGCAAGGATGGAAGCAGCCAGAAGCAACACTGAAAACTGCTCTGGTAGTTTCTCACGAAGTGAAGTATGTACCACCCTAGGACCCAGGAATTCCACCCTTAGGTATCACCCCAAGAGAAATGAAAACATGTACCAATAAACACAACCATATAAAAATGTTTACAGTGGTTTTATCTATAAGAGCCAAAAACTGGAAACAACACAAATGTCCATCAACAGAAGATTGGATAAACTGATAGTACCACATTCACACAATGGAGTGTTACTCAGTATATAAAAGGATAACTATGGATACATGCAACAACATGGATAAATGTAAAAAACAACACACTGAGCAACAAAAGCCAGACACAACAGGGTACAGACTGTATGATTCCATTTAAATGAAGTTCGAGAACACGTAAAATTAAAGTGAAAGGAATCAGAACACTACCTGTGCTGGGGGGCAGGGATGATGCGAACTGGGGAGAGATGCAAGGGAACTTTGTGGGATGATGGAAATGTTCTGTATCTTGACAGAATTGTGGATTACACGGGTGTTGGCATTTGTCAAAACTCATGGAAACAAGATACTTAAGGTGTGTGCATTTCACTGTATGGAAACTATATCTCAACCAAAATATGTTTTGAAAAGAAGTAAAAGGTCTAAGGTTTAAAAAGGGAAAATAAATAAATATTCAAGAGAATCTCTTAACAAGTAGGAATGACTTGGATTAGAAGAAGGAAGAGTAGACCAGGCACAGTGGCTCACACCTATAATCCCAGCACTTTGAGAAGCCGAGGAGGAAGGACTGCTTGAGCCCAGGAGTTCAAGACCAGCCTGGGCAACACAGACACTGTCTCTACAAAAAAATTAAAAAAATTAGCTGGGCACAGTGGCATGCATCTATAGTCCCAGATACTCAGGAGGTTTCCCTGAGCCCAGGAGTCTGAGGCTGCAGTGAACCATGATCATGCCACTATACTCCAGCCTGGGCGGCAGAGTGAGACCCTGCCTCCAAAAAAAAAAAGAAAAGAAAAAAAGAAAGTAAGAAAAAAAGAAGGGATGATAATTTAAATGATTTTAAAGAACTCTTCCAGTTCTGACATGCTTTGTAGCATACTCTTATTGCCTAACTCAATGTAACCTTACATTCTTAAGGTAAAACAGAAGGTTTAAAAGCTGAAGTTTGAGGTTATAAAGACACATTCAAACATACAACAAAGTAAGAAAACCACTACCAATAATTTGCCTTATTTGCTTCAGAGCTCTCTCTCTCTCTCTCACTGTTGCTTATTTAACAATTCACATAAATGATGTCATTTGCACAAGGTTATCTCTGCAACTTCCTTTTGTTACTTAACATAATATGCTTCAGATTTATCCACATCGATACATGTAGCTCGATTTCATTCATTTTATGAACTTTATAATATGGGTTCAGAATTCTTTTTCCAAAAATCTAAAATCCAAAAAGCTCTTAAGTTTTCCCATAACTTAATTAAAAAATGTAATTAACCCAAATAGTATGAAGCCATTTAAAATCTATTTATCCCACTTAATATGAATATTCATAAATTTTGCTACAGAAAAATTAGTATGTTTGATTATGAGGTGTTTCCCAAATCCCAATGGGAGTGTTATACAATAAATGGTATACATACCGAATTACCTTTAAAGTTTAAAAATTTCTAAATTCCAAAATACATCTGCCCTAAGTATTCTGGAGATAAGGATTGTTTACTTGAATTCCACTATACGAATAATATCAATGTATCCATTCACTTACTGAGGAACAGTTAAGTATTTTTGTACTTATTCACTATTATAATAAATACACCTCCATCTATCTAGATCCTATCTAGATCACCATTATAATAAATTACACCTCCATCTATATAGATCCTTGAGCACATGGGTAAAAGTTTCTCTCAAGAAGACACAGAAATAGAACCGCTGGGTAGCAGAGTGTGCCTCCAACTTTACCAGTCATTTAAACTTGCTACTTTTCCATTTTATATACAGCTAAGTACACCATGCAGATGATAAAAGGAGTCAGATATCCAGCCTGGAATGCTTCTATCTAAGGAACCTTGATATCTAATCATATAGCACTAACTTTTGGTATAAATGATCAAACTGCTATTTCATAAAAACAAAACAAAAAAACCCCACAAATGATTGTGCATTCAAGTCCATCAATAAGGAATAAAGGTACAGCATTTTCAAAGAAAGCTGTGAATTACAAAGCTGTCTTAGCAGAACCCTCACTTCATTCTGAGACAGGAGAAATATTTTTAAAATTACATCTATGGAATATTAAATAAATCTACCTCTCAATATAAGACCTTATGTTTCTCCATTTAAACAAACAACCATTCGCCAAAAAAGAAATAACCTTTTGTGTCTTAATGTGCCACTTACTGCCATTTTCAAGACAGTTTAGCTTACTTAAGAAGGTATACATAAAGACACCATCTTCACGCTCTACGTATGCAGAGACTATGCAATGCTCCAATGAGAACACAGTGTAAGAAGGCGAAAGTTCCCTGTTGAAAAAAAATTAGTCTGCTAACTGGATCATTCTTAGACAAAAGAACCAAATTGATAAGCAATCGGGCATAAGAGGAGAAATCAATAAATTTACCTTGCTAGTATATTTTGAGGTTTTGTTCACTTAAAAAACAAAATTATCAATAAAATCAGAGCTTCAAGGGTATGAAATGCAATTAATTTTCATTTTTTCAAGGGCTTTTAACATCATTTTACTGTTAGAGGGATAAAAATTATTCACAAAAAAATGCTAAGCATCAGTAAAGAATCAGGTATCCCTGAGTGACTACTTTTTTTTTTTAATTCCTAAAGGGAAAAGTAATTATTTTTGTATGTAATAAATAAGAAAGGGCCAGAAGAGAAACTTGATTCTTGTGTCTTTTAAGCCTTCAGGTTCCTTATCTCCAAGATAATTTCATACGGATCTTTGAGATCAAAATTTTGGCACCTTAGTGTACAATTACAGTATTTGGCATTTTGTAGGGATTCTCAGGTAAAGATGAAAAACTTGAACATCTCTCTCCAAAACTTAGAGTCTTAATTAAGATCTCAGCATCGCCGGGCGCGGTGGCTCACGCCTGTAATCCCAGTACTTTGGGAGGCCAACACAGGCAGATCACAAGGTCAGGAGTTCGACACCAGCCTAACCAACATGGTGAAACCCCGTCTCTACTAAAAATACAAAAATTAGCTGGGCGTGGTGGCGGGCGCCTGTAATCCCAGCTACTCAGGAGGCTGACGCAGGAGAGTCGCTTGAACCCGGGAAGTGGAGGTTGCAGTGAGCTGAGATTGTGCCACTGCACTCCAGCCTAGGTGACGGAGTGAGATTCCGTCTCAAAAAAAAAAAACTCATCTCATCATCATCGCTTCAAAAACTTAAACATCTCTCTCCATCTATGTTCCTTCCCACCTTGCTGCTTCCTCTTTTCAACTATAATCTCTCTCAAAGAAGGAAAGAGAGAGGAAACAGAAAAGATTGGGAATAATTCTAATTTCTCTCCTCCTTTCACCTAACATCATAAAATAACATATTTCCCTGAGAATCTCTACAAAATGCCAAGTACTGTTGTACTTGTACACTAAGGTGCCAAAATTTTGATCTCAAAAATCCCTATAAAATTATCTTGGAGATAAGGAACCTAAAGGCTTAAAAGACACAACAATCAAGTTTCTCTTCTGGTCCTTTCTTATTTATTGCATACAAAAATAATTACTTTTCACTTTAGGAACTAAAAAAAAAATTAAGTAGTCACACAGGGATACCCGATTCTTTACTGATGCTTAGCATTTTTTTAATCCAAATATATGAGCAGGGATAGATGCTTATACATGTCTTTATTCTGACAATTTCCTGTGTGTGTGTGTGCATGTGTGTTTAATAGAGAGATGGGGGTTTCGCTTTACTGCCCAGGTTGATCTCAAATTCCTGAGCTCAAGCAATCCTCCCACCTCAGCCTCTCCTGAGTGGTTGGGACTGCAGGCATGCATGCCACCATGCACAGGTTTTTCTGACAGTTTTGAACAAAATTTTTGGTCCCCATATTACAGGGGTAATTGACATTTCAAATAAAGCTACTTGTTTAACCTTAAGGTTTCTATACAAAACAAGAAAACTTAAATATTCACACAAGAATATTAAATAACTTTAGTGAACCTAAAATTTTCACGCCAGAAAGAAAGGAAGTACTCAAAGAATAACAGGAACATGTCTACCAGACACAGGAGTGAGCTTGAATGGGCTCCTACTGGCCAACTCTTGGACAGATTGAGCATCAAATTCAATAATGGTGATTACATACAAACTACTGAAAAAAACAGGGATCTATAAATCCATACAGATATGACATAAATAAATTGAACAGTTGATGAAGAATGAGATATGTATATAGTCTCAAGGTATCTCCTCACAAAATAAGTATTAATTACAAAAGGAGAGTAACTGCCCAGTGGAGAAGCTGGAAAGATATTATCACCTTGCTCAAGCAATCAAAGTGATCATCTTCAGTAATAAGACAGCCTGACAATCATGTGCCACCTGCCAGGGTACAATGACAAGAACAGAGCATCACTTCTGTGATATTCTTTTCAGTGATATACAACCTGAGCATATAATGAAGAAACATAAGACAATCCAAATAGAAGTATATTCTATAAAACTACTAGTCTGTAAACCTTGAAAGTATCCAGGTCATGAAGCCAAAAACAGACAGAAAGTGTCCCAGATTGAAGGAGATGAAAGAGACATGCAACCTGTGGACTGAAGGAGATAAGAGAGACATGTAACCTGTGATTCTAAACTCAATCTTTTTTATTTACAAAGATTATTTTTGTTTATTAGAACAACAAACAAAATTTGAATTTAAAGGTAATTTCCTGAATGTGATGGTTATGCCAAAGGTCCCTTTTTGTGGGAAACATACACTGTATGAAGGGGAGCGGTATGATGACATATAGGTTGGCAATTTATCCTCAAATGGTTACAGAGGCAAAAAAGTTATTTTTACCGTATTTGGAATTTTTCTCTAAATTTGAGATTGTTTCAATTTTTAATTACTGAAAAAATATGATAGGGAAAAAATCCATTCAAAGTAGGCAAAAAAATTTTACAAATTACATAGTAGTAACCTTGACAAGAAATACGCAACACTTAAATGAAGAAAACTACAACACTTTGCTGGAACAAGTAAATAAACTTTTAATCAATTAAAAAAAAAGCCATACTTTATTTTTATTTTTTTGACACAGGGTCTCACTCTGTCACCCAGGCTGAAGTGCAGTGGTGCAATCCTGGCTCACTGCAGCCTCAACTTCCCAGGCTCGAGTGATCCTCCCACCTCGGCCTCCACAGTAGCTGAGACCACAAGTGCATGCCACGACACTTGGCTAACTTTTTTATTTTTTTTACAGATGAGGTTTCACCACGTTGCCCAGGCGGGTCATGAAGTCTTCGGCTCAAGCAATCTGCCCACCTCATCCTCCCAAGGTGCCGGGATTACAGACATGAGCCACCATACCTGGCCCAAGCCATACTTGAAAAATAATTTGTAGGTTTAACACAACCTTAGTTGTGGCTGACTGAGAAAAAGAACAGTTCTAAAGCTCATTTTTAATTTATTCAGTGATCCAAAATATATTTATTGAGTATGTACCATGTGTCAGGTACAAGGGGTACAGCAGTAAGCAAGAAAAATAAGATCTTTACCCTCATGGAACCGAAATTCCAATGAAAAAGAGAGTAGACAAACTGTCAAGAATGTTATTTACAGATTGTGATAAATGATATTGAAGAGATAGGATAATATGGCAGATTGGGTACAGGATTTTCTACTTTAGATAGTGTTGGGTTCAGGAGGGCCCTTTGAAGAAACAGCATCTGAGCTGAGCCCTGAGGCAGCTGGGATATAAAAAGAGTTGGGTAAGAGTATTGGGCAGCACCTAAGAATAAAGAGTGAGAATGGCAAAAATACAGATACGGGAGGGAAATTTTTTTAATGCCCAACCGGCCATTAATACAAAATTATAAGCCTGTAATAATTAAATCAATCTAGTACTATAAAAAAGTACTAGAAAAAAGGATAACAAACAGAAAAATAGATCGTATAATATATAAGCACTTAACAACAACAACAACAAAATGCCACAAACCAAAAGGAAAGACACTGATCATTTACCCATACACTGTGTAGAACGTTCTTCAGTTATTAGGAAAACATCAAAATAAGTTTGTCTCCTCACACAAAAATACAAAATAAATTCTTAAGGAAGATTAAAGAACTAAGAGTAAAATGCAAATTAATTAGAAAATAAAAAATATATATACACATTTAATGATACTCATTCAGATAAAGAAGGCCTTTCCAAGCAAAAAAGAAATGTAAGGAATTGCAAAAAAAAAAAAAAAAAAAAAAAGTGTGGTACATTTTACTGCTTACCAATATAAAATGTGTATACATCAAAAATATAAAGACTAAAGAGCAAATGACAAACACTGAAAATTATTTATAACAAATGTGAGAGGAAAAACTTTATCCTCACTATATAGAGCCCATATAAATTAAATATTAAGCTCTTCCCTTCCCCAAGAAAAATTAACAAAAAATACGCAATTCACAGATAATACCCAAATAGCCAGTAAACACAAGAAAAATGTAAACCAAAAAATGCAAATTAAAACAAAATAATACTTTTTAACCTATAAAACAGGCAAGATTTTTTTTCAGGGAAAAGATCTTTGAAGATAACATTAAGATGGGAAGTGAGACAGGCATTCTTACACACTGCTAGTGAGATGGTCTAATTTTATGGAAAACAATCTGTCAATAGGTATATCCAGAACAGCCTTTCTAAACCAGCACTGTATTCTGCTAAAGAATTAAGCCCTACATAAAATAATTTCATGACTGTTTTCTCAATTCTCTCAAGGATAATTCAAGCCAGTAGAGTTCAAGACGCACAGGAAATACGTTAATTTCACTACCCATAGTAGATGCCTCAAGGCATCAGAGCTTAATTTCCTCAAGGATGGAATTGAGAAGGGCTGATCAAGAGCTACTTTAAAAACACGTATTCTTTAAGAATATTATAATACACCTCTTTCATTTTATAAGCACAATTGTGTCATCATCAAGAAGCAGAGACTGTATTTTAGCAATGTTGCTTTTCTCTCCAAACACAAGGTAGATAATATAATAATCTGTGGACTCATTTTTGTAACATTTTTTTCATTACAAAGTAATGTTAACTATGTTAAAATATGTTAAACACTTTAATAATATATAATGTATATGGGGGGAAAAGGACTCTCCTGTAATTCCTTTGATCATCTTTGACAAACAGGTTCAATTATTTAGCAATCTACCTTAGGAAAATAATCAGAAAATGTGAAAATGTATTAACAAAGATAGTCATAACAGTATTATAATAAAAAGAAGGAATACCCTAACTATCCAACAATAAAAGAACAGCTAAAAATATGACATCATTTCATATAGTCATTTAAAATAACCTTCCTGAAGAATATTTAGTAACATAGGGCAGATGCTCTAAAGTTTTTAAATCAGTTCTTTAAAGTCATATAAAGAGTGTGAGGGCCAGGTGTAGTGGCTAACACCTATAATCCCAGCACTTTGGGAGGCTGAGGAGGGAGGATTGCTTAAGGCTAGGAATTCGAGACCAGCCCAGGCAACAGAGCGACATCCTGTCTCTACAAAAAATTTTTTAAAAATTAGCCAGGGCTATTAGTTCACACCTGTAGTCCTAGCTACTCAGGCAGCAGAGGCAGGAGGATCACTGGAGCCCAGGAGTTTGAGGCTCAGTTAGCTATGATTGTGCCACTGCACTCCAGCCTGGGCAACACAGTGAGACTCTGTCTCTCTAAAAGAACGAAAGAGGCCGGGCGCGGTGGCTAACGTCTGTAATCCCAGCACTTTGGGAGGCCGAGGCGGGTGGATCATGAGGTCAGGAGATTGAGACCATCCTGGCTAACAAGGTGAAACCCCGTCTCTACTAAAAATACAAAAAATTAGCCGGGCACGGTGGCGGGCGCCTGTAGTCCCAGCTACTCGGGAGGCTGAGGCAGGAGAATGGCGTGAACCCGGGAAGTGGAGCTTGCAGTGAGCCGAGATTGCGCCACTGCAGTCTGCAGTCCGGCCTGGGCGACAGAGCGAGACTCCGTCTCAAAAAAAAAAAAAAAAAAGAACGAAAGAAATGTGTGTGGTATGTGTACACATGCATGCATCAACCCAGCTGAATATGTCTATGACACATAGAAGTATAGAAGGTTTCTTTTCCTACATACCCTTTAGTATTCTTAAACATTTTTTTATCATATGTTAATATTACTTTGTAATGAGGAAAGAATATTAAAGAAATAACTCTACAAAGTACTATGTTATCTACTCCGCGTTTAGAGAGAAGTAACATTGCAAAAGATAATGAATGCTTCCTGAAGATGGTACAATTGTGCTTATAAAGTAAAGGAGGGTGAATAGAATATTCTTCTCAAAGAATACAGAGATCAGGCCAGACGCAGTAGCTCATGCCTACAATCTCAGTACTTTGGGAGGCTGAGGAGGAAGAACTGCTTGAGCCCAGGAGGTAAAGACCAGCCTGGGCAACATGGCGGGGCCCTGTCTCCACAAAAAAATTTAAAATGAGCCTGGCATGGTGGCACGTGCTTGTGGTCTCAGCTACTCAGGAGGCTGACGCTGGGGGATCACTTGAGCTGGGGTGGTCAAGGGTACAATGATCCATGATCACACCACCGCACTCCAGCCTGGACTATAGAGCGATACTATGTCTCAAAAACAAAAAATACACAGATCAAGAATCTTAACAGTGCTACCCTAACAATACACTCTTCCACATACTCCAAAGTCAGTTCCAAAGTTAGTCTCCAGTCAAGAAACAATGAACACTAAAACTAAGAAATTTGCCAGACCTTCAAATGTACACTACTGAGGGACATTTTAAAGCTAGAAAGCAATAGTTGTCCTTGAGACTGGCCTGTAAGTAAAATCCGCCTGCTTTTTGAAAATCCCTACCTACCCAGTATCATCAAGGTTCTAATCAAGTTATAAGTTCACTTAAGTATTAAAGTTAGGCAGCCAATAACCTGAAATCAATACATAAAAGCTTCATTGGGCAATATAAATATACTCTTTAGAGTCAAGGGAAGCTCTCATTTCAGCACTATACACAGAGTTTACAGACAAAATAAGAAATTATAAGGTGGGCGCGATGCCTCACATCTGTAATCCCAGCAATTTGGGAGGCCGAGGCAGGCGGATCACAAGGTCAGGAGTTCAAGACCAGCCTGACCAACATGGAGAAACCCCAACTCTACTAAAAATACAAAAATTAGCCAGGCGTGGTGGTGCCTGCCTGTAATTCCGGCTACTCAGGAGGTTGAGGCAGGAGAATCGCTTGAATTCAGGAGGCGGAGGTTGCAGTGAGCCGAGATCACACCACTGCACTCCAACCTGGGCGACAGAGTGAGACTTCGTCTCAAAAAAAAAAAAAAAAAAGGGGGGGGCCGGGCACAGTGGCTCACGCCTGTAATCCCAGCACTTTGGAAGGCCAAGGCGGGTGGATCACGAGGTCAGGAGATCGAGACCACCCTGGCTAACACGGTGAAACCCCGTCTCTACTAAAAATACAAAAAATTAGCCGGGCTTGGTGGCAGGTGCCTGTAGTCCCAGCTACTCGGGAGGCTGAGGCAGGAGGATGGCACGAACCCAGGAGGCGGAGCTTGCAGTGAGCCGAGATGGCGCCACTGCACTCCACCTGGGGGACAGAACAAGACTCCATCTCAAAAAAAAAAAAAAAAAAAAAAAAAAGTTATAAAATCATCTTATATAATACTGTTAACAAACAAAGCACCAGTGAGTTTATGCCTATCATTCAAGAACACTGAACTCACTGTTTGACATTTGGCAAACGACTATAATACAATCTTTGAAATCAAAATGTCAAACTGACACAACCAGCTATGGCAATTACTCTAAAAAGTAGTGGCTAGGCCGGCCGCAATGGCTCACGCCTGTAATCCCAGTACTTTGGGAGGCCGAGGTGGGCAGATCACAAAGTCAGGAGTTCGAGACCAGCCTGGCCAAGATGGAGAAAACCCATCTCTACTAAAAATACAAAAATTAGCTGGGCTTGGTGGTGGGCGCCTATAGTCCCAGCTACTTGGGAGGCTGAGGCAGGAGAATCACTTGAACTCGGGAGGCGGATGCTGCAGTGAGCTGAGATCGCGCCACTGCACTCCAGCCTGGGCGACAGAGCGACTCTGTCTCAGAAGGAAAAAAAAAAAAAAAAAAGCAGTGGCTAAAATGAAATACAGTAAAATTGGCAAACTACACTGGACACACACACAGTTTTGTTCTAAATATATTTTTTACAATATAAATTAGCTCATACATGATCATGATAAATAGAGAACTATCATTATAACAAAGCTGTGCTGATTCATATGTACCTTTTCCTAGGCAAGAGAACTACAAAGACAGGCAGAATTGCAGCCTTCAGCAGGAAAGGAAAATGCCCTCTGCTTGGCTGCTGAATAAATAGTGATCCTTTCAGCTCTATTTTGAGAAAACTAAAACAGAGCACCTGTATCCAGGGCTCCCTTCCTACAGGGGCACACCCCTGAGCACTCATGGCCCTCTGCTCAAGACAGGCTGCACTTTTTCCTGCGCTCAGAGATCCACTTCCATCAGCAATTTCTCAGCACTGTAAGCAAGCATTTCTACTAAATTACTTCGGTGAGTTTTGAATATATGTTGAAGCATTCTCTGGCTACTATCACCTGGCATCCTAGTGCTATCCAAGTAATCTCCTGAGGTACCATTTATTAACATTACTTCTGTTTGTGTTATGATTACAAAGTTACATATATTTAGAATACTCTTCCCCAAACCCTAACTTTCCAATAGTAAAATTTTATAGAACCTGATGCTTTTCATCGGATAGCAGAAACACTGGCATTTTACACTAAAAACTTTTCAAACTGGCTTGTTAAAAAATGAGTTGTAAAAACAATTTAGTGGTTGCCAATCTTTTTTCATTAAAAGAAAATAAAACTTAAAACATCTAACATCGTCCATAGAGCAAGTATTATATCATAAAACTTATGTTTTGGCCGGGCACAGAGGCTCACACCTGTAATTCCAACACTTTGGGAGGTGGAGGCAGGCAGATTGCTTGAGCCCAAGAGTTCGAGACCAGTCTGCGCAACATGGCAAAACCCCGTCTCTATAAAAAATACAAAAACTAGCTGGGTGTGGTGGCACATGCCTATAGTTCCATATTTTCAACTACAAAACTTAAAACTGAAAGATAAAATACCAAACTCAAATAAACATAAGTTCGTAATAAGATCCTTCTTGCTAATTTTTTTTTTTTTTTTTTTGAGACAGAGTCTCGCTCTGTTGCCCAGGCTGGACTACAATGGCGCAATCTCAGCTCACTGCAACTTCCACCTCCCAGCGTCAAGCAATTCTCCTGCCTCAGCCTCCTGAATAGTTGGGATTACAGGCACCTACCACCACACCCGGATAATTTTTCTATTTTTAGTAGAGATGAGGTTTCACCATGTTGGCCAGGCTGGTCTCAAACTCCTGACCTCACGTGATCCACCTGCCTCAGTCTCCCAAAGTGCTGGGATTACAGGCGTGAGCCACCGCACCCGGCCTCTAGGTGATAATTTTCAAAGTATCAAACTCATTCAACAAATCTGTGTTTATGACTTAAGACGCTCTCAACATAGCCAGAGCAACATAAGTACCATGGGTGCCCCCTACCGTCCAGTCCCTGATTAAATTTCAAGGGCTCACTTGATTTGATAAACAAGGTGTAAAGCAGTTTAAAGCCATTATTTTAAACTACTAATATAGTTCTTTGTTCTTCCTAATCTATCTTGCAATGCTGACATAAGGCTTAGAATCAATATATGTGAAGGCTCCAGCTCCCGGTAAATCCTCAACACAGGGCAATTATATTAATCGCCATAGCGAATATTTGTTTTAATTTATGACTGTTCATAAAACTTTTAAAAAATAATGTATTGAGGTGTAGTTCATATAACATAAAATTAACCATTTTAAAGTGAACAATTCAGTAACATTTAGTACGTTCACAGTGTTCCGCAATGACTGCCTCTACCTAGTTCCATAATATTTCCATCACTCCAAAGTTAAAACTCCTTACCCAGCAGTTTCTTCCCATTCCTCATTCTTCCCAGCCTCTGGCAACCACCAATTAGCATTCTACATCTGTAGATTTATCTACAAAATATATTACATATACACGGAACCATACAATAAGTGATCTTTTGTATCTGGCTCCTTTCAGTCAGGATAAAGTTTTGGAGGTATATCCACACTGCAGCATGTATCAGAACTTCATTCCTTTTCATGGCTGAATACTACTCTATTGTACGGCCAAAGCACGTTATCCAGCCAATACTGTAGATATACCTGCAGGAAAAAGTATTTCCGCACAAAAGCTGCTCCATAAAATTGGAAGGAGCAGCTGCTGCACCAGATGCACAGATGCCAAAGTAGACACAAGAAACATAAAAAAGCAAGGGAAATACAACACCTCAAAAGAAACTCAATTAATTCTCTAGGAAGAAATCCGTCCCCCCCCGCCCCAAAAAAAGAAATCTCTGAAATGCCTGAAAAAAATGAAAAATAATGATCTTAAGGAAACTCAGCAATATACAAACACACACACACACACACACACACACACACACACACACAAACGGTACAAAGAAATAGGAAAACAATTCATCAGTGAAAAATTCAACAAGGAGATATATATCAAACAAACAAACAAATTGTGAAATTAAAGAATTCATTGAGTGAAATAAAAAATAGAATAGACTACATCAAGCAGATTTTCTGAACTTGAAGACAGGTCTTTTGCAAAATCTCAGACAGGGCTGGGCGCGGTGGCTCACACCTGTAATCCCAGCACTTTGGGAGGCCGAGGTGAGCAGATTACCTGAGGTCAGGAGTTTGAGACCAGCCTGGCCATCATGGTGAAACCCTCCCTCTACTAAAAATACAAAAATTAGTTGGGTGTGATGGTGCACACCTGTAATCCCAGCTACTCAGGAGGCTGAGGCAGCAGAATCACTTGAACCCAGGAGGCGGAGGTTGCAGTAAGCCAAGATCGTGCCACTGCACTCCAGCCTGGGCAACAGAGCGAGACTCTGCCTCAAAAAAAGAAAAAGAAAAAAAAAGAAAAAACTCAGAAGAAAAAGAAGAGAGGATAAAAAAGAATAAAGCCCACATGGCATATGGGACACCATTAAGTGAACAACTACTTGCACTTTGGGAATTTCAGAAGAGATGGTAAATGGCATAGACAACCTGTTTAATGAAATAATAGCGGAAAACTTCCGAAGTCTCAGCAGAGATACAGGCATATATCCCTCGAATCTTTGGTATTCAAAGATCCCAAAACATATTCAGCCCAAAGAAAGTCCTCTCTAAGGTACATTATTGCCAAGTTGTCAAAAGTAAATGATAAAAACAGAATTCTACACTGAACACGGTGGCTAACTCCTGCAATCCCAATGCTTTGGGAGGCCAGGCGGGAGGATTCTTTGAGGCCAGGAGTTTGACACAAGCCTGGGCAACATAGCAAGACCCTATCTATACAAAAAATGTAAAAAGTAGCCAGGGATGGCCAATCTTTTAGCTGTAGTCCTAGCTACTCAAGAAGCTGAGGCAAGATCACTTGAACACAGGAGTTCAAGGCTGCAGTGAGCTATGACTGAACCATCACACACCAGCCTGGGCAATGGAGCAAGACCCTATCTCTAAAAATAATAATAATCACAGTAATAAAAAAGAATATTCTGAAAACAGCAAGAGAATACTCAGGAGGCTGAGTGGGTAGGATTGCTTGAGGCCAAGAGTTGGAGGGCTGTCGTGAGACATGATTGTGCCTGTGACTAGCCACTGCAATCCAGCCTGGGAAACAGAATAATGTCTCTCAAAAAAAAAAAAAAGTTTTTTAAACAGCAAGAGAAAATCCTCAAGTCACATGTATGGGAATCTCCATCAGACTAATGGCAGATTTCTCAGCAGAAACTTTACAAGTCAGGAGAGAATGAAATGATATATTCAAACTGCTGAATGAAGGGGGTGGGGAGCAAAAAAATTGTTAGCCAAGAATACTATACCCAGCAAAGCTATCTTTCAGAAATGAAGGAGAAATAAAGTCTTTCACAGACAAATGAAAACTGAAAAAATTCACCACTAAACCAGCCATACAAAATGCTGAAGAGAGTCTTACATCTGGAAGGGAAAGAATAATATGTATCATCACGAAAACACATAAAAGTATAAAATTCACTGGCAAAGCAAATATACAAATGAGAAAGAGAAACTAGTCAAATGTTATCACTACAGAATACCACCAAACAGCAAGGATAAACAATGAGAGGAAAAAAGGAACATAGGATATACAAAGCAATCAGAAAACAACAAAATGACAGGAGTAAGCCTTCACATATCAAGAACAATCTTGAATGTACATGGTTTAAATTCCCCAATTAAAAGATATAGGCTGAATGAGTGGATTTTTTTTTAAAAAAAGACTCAACTATATGCTGTCTACAAGAAACTCACTTCACATGTAAAAACACACATAGAAAATGAAGGAATAAGCCAGGTGCGGTGGCTCACACCTGTAATCCCAGCACTTTGGGAGGCCAAGGCAGGTAGATCACCTGAAGTCAGCAGTTCGAGACCAGCCTAGCCAAAATGGTGAAAACCCCGTCTCTACTAAAAATACAAAAATTAGCCAGGCGTGGTGGCACATGCCTGTAATCCCAGATACCCAGGAGGCTGAGGCAGGGGCATCACTGGAACCCAGGAGGTGGAGGATGCAGTGAAGCAAGATCATGCCACCACACTACAGCCTGGGCGACAGAGCAATATTCCATCTCAAAAACTAAATAAATACATACATACATACATACATGCAAAAAATCAGCCAGGCGTGGTGGCACATGCTTGTAATCCCCAGCTACTTGGGAGGCTAAGGCAGGAGAACCGCTTGAACCCGGGAGGCAGAGATTGCAGTGAGCCAAGATCATGCTACTACAGTCACTCCAGCCTGGGCAACAAGGGTGAAACTCCGTCTCAAAAAAAAAGAAAATGAAGGAATGGAAAAAGATACTCCACATAAATGGAAACCAGACGCATGAAGGAGTAGCTATATTTATATCAAACAAAATAGACTTTCAAGTCAAAAAACATAAAAAGGGACATTATATAATGATAAAGGGATCAATTCAGCAAAAGGACGTAACAACTATAAACACATATGCACCTAACACCAAAGCACCCAGCTATAAAGCAAATATTATTAGAGCTAGAGACATAGATCCCAATATAAGAATAATTGCGGACTTCACCACCCCACTTTCACCACTGAACAGATCATCTAGACAGAAAATCAACAAAGAAACACTGGTCTTCAGTGGAACTATGGACCAAATGGATCTAACAGGCATTCATAGAACATTCCATGCAACAGCTACAGAATATACATTCTCCTCATCAGCACATGGAACATTCTCTAGGATAAACCATATGTTAGGCCACGAAACAAGTCTCAACAAATTTTGTAAAACTAAAATCATATCAAGTATCTTCCCAGACCACAGTGGGATAAAACTAGACATCAAAAACAAGAACTTTGGAAACTAAACACCTGAAAAACCACTGGGTCTATGGAGAAATTTAAAAGGAATTCAAAAGATTTGTTGGAAAAAAAACCGAAATAGAAACACAACATAATGACAAGGTGTGGTGGCTCATGCCTGAAATCCCAGCACTTTGGGAGACTGAGGCACGCAGATGGCTTGAGCTCAGGAGTTCGACACCAGCCTGGGCAACATGGCAAAACCCCGTCTTCATTTTCAAAAAAAGAAAAGAAAAGGCCGGGCGCATTGGCTCACACCTGTAATCCCAGCACTTCGGGGGCCGAGGCGGGCAGATCACGAGGTCTGGAGATCAAGACCATCCTGGCTAACACGGTGAAACCCTGTCTCTACTAAAAATATAAAAAATTAGCCAGGTGTGCTGGTGGGTGCCTGTAGTCCCAGCTACTAGGGAGGCTGAGGTGGGAGTGAACCCGGGAGGCAGAGCTTGCAGTGAGCCGAGATCATGCCACTGCACTCCAGCCTGGGTGACAGAGCAAGACTCCGTCTCAAAAAAAAAAAAAAAAAAAGAAGAAAAGAAGAAAAAAAAACACAACATACCAAAACCTCTGGGAAACAGCAAAAGCAGTACAAAGAGGGGGGTTTACAGCAATAAATACTTATATCAAAAAAGAAGACAGATTTTAAATAAACAACCTAGCAATGCATCTCAAGGAACCTGAAAGGCAAGAACAAACCAAACTCAAAATTAGTGTAAGAAATAAAGACCAGAGCAGAAATAAGCAAAATAGAAACCAGAGAGAGAGAAAGAGAAAGCAAGAGATGGAGATATGGAGATATGGGGGGGAGAGAGAGATTCAATTAGATTAGATAATTAGAGAGAGACACATATAAAACATCAATGAAACAAGAACTTGTTTTGGGGATTGTTCTTGTTGTTGTTGCTGCTGTTTCTGAGACAGGGTCTTGCTCTGTCACCCCGGCTGGAGTGCAGTGGTGCAATCTCAACTCACTGCAACCTATGCCTCCCAGGTTCAAGTGATTCTCATGCCTCAGCCTCCCAAGTAACTGTGATTACTGGCATACACCACCACGCCCAGCAACTTTTTTTTTTTTTTTTATAGTAGAGACAGGGTTTCACCATCTTGCCCAGGCTGATCTCGAACTCCTGGGCTCAAGTGATCTGCGGACTCAGCCTACCAGTGTGCTGGGATTACAGGCATGGCCCACTACGCCCAGCCAGAAACTTGGTTTTTTGAAAAGATAAGCAAAATCCACAAACCATTAGCTAGACTAAGAAGAGAGAAGACTCAAACAAAATCTGAAATGAAAAAGGAAACCACAGAAATACAAAGAATCATTAGACGCCATTATGAACAACTATACACCAACAAATTGGAAAACCTAGAAGGAATGGATAAATTCCTGGATATATAGAACTTGCCAAGATCGGACCAGGAAGAAGCAGTGATATAGTGTACTATACCCAAATCTCAACATGAATTGTATCTCCAAGAATTCCCACATGTGGCCAGGCGTGGTGGCTCACGCCTGTAATCCCAGCACTTTGGGGGGCCCGAGGCAGGTGGATCACGCGGTCAGGAGATCGAGATCATCCTGGCTAACACGGTGAAACCTCGTTCTACTAAAAATGCAAAAAAATTAGCCAGGCGTGGTGGTGGGCACCTGTAGTCCCAGCTACTCAGGAGGCTGAGGCAGGAGAATGGCGTGAACCCAGGAGGCAGAGCTTGCAGTGAGCCGAGATCGCACCACTGCACTCCAGCCTGGGCAACAAAGCGAGACTCCGTCTCAAAAAAAAAAAAAAAAAATTTCCCACGTTATGTGAAGGACCCAAGGGAAGGTAACTGAATCATGGGGCCAGTCTTTCCCATGCTATTCTTGTGATAGTGAATAAGTCTCATGAGATCTGATGGGTTTATCAGGGGTTTCCGCTTTTGCTTCTTCCTCATTTTTCTCTTGCCGCCTCAATGTAAGAAGTGCCTTTTCATATACACCATGGAATACTATGCAGCCGTAAAAAATGATGAGTTCATGTCCTTTGTAGGGACATGGATGCAACTGGAAACCATCATTCTCAGTAAACTATCACAAGGACAAAAAACCAAACACCGCATGTTCTCACTCATAGATGGGAATTGAACAATGAGAACACATGGACACAGGAAGGGGAACATCACACTCTGGGGACTGTTGTGGGGTGGGGGAAGGGGGGAGGGTTAGCATTAGGAGATATACCTAATGCTATATGACGAGTTAATGGGTGCAGCACACCAGCATGGCACATGTATACATATGTAACTAACCTGCACATTGTGCACATGTACCCTAAAACTTAAAGTATAATAGTAAAAAAAAAAAAAAAAAAAAAAGAAGTGGCCTTTGCCTCCCACCATGATTCTGAGGCCTCCCCAGCCATGTGGAACTATAAGTCCAATTAAACCTCTTTTTCTCTCCAGTCTCAGTATGTCTTCATCAGCCAGCATGAAAACAGACTAATACAAGTAGTAAACCTGAACAGAACAACACCAAGTAACAAGACTGAATCAATTTTAATAAAAAGTCTCTCAACAAAGGAAACCCTGGATCAGATAGCTTTAATGCTAAATTCTACAAAACTTTTAAAGAACTAACACCAATTCTTCTCAAACTATTCCCAAAAGCTGAAGAGGGGTAATTCTTTGTAACTTACTCTATAGGGCCAGCCAGCATTACCTTGATGCGAAAACCAGACAAGGGTACAGAAACAACAAAAACTATGGTCAATATCCCTGATGAACACAGATGCAAAAATCCTCAACAACATACTAGCAAACAAAATCCAACAGCACATTCAAAAGACAATACACCAAGACAAAGTGGGATTTATCCCAGGGATGCAAGGATGGTTCAACATACACAAAACGATAAATGTAATATAGCACATCAACAGCATGAATGACAAAATCCATATGATTATCTCAATAGATGCAGAAAAAAACATTGGATAAAATTCAACATACCTTCCTGATAAAAACTCTCAATAAACTAGGCAATAAAGGAACATACCTCAACATAATCAAGGCCACATATGACAAAGTGACAGCTAACATCACACTTAATAGGGAAAAGCTGAATGCATTTCCTCTAAGAACTAGAACCAGACAAGTATGCCAACTTTTCACCATTCTTACTCAACATAGTACTGGAAGTCCCAGCCAGAGCACTTAGGCTAGAGAAAAAAATAAAGGGCATCCAGATTGCAAAAGAGGCAGTCAAATGTCCCTGTTTGCAGACAACATGTTCTTATATCTAGAAAAACCTAAAGACTCCATCAAAACAATCTCAGAACTTATAAACAAATTCACTAAAGTTGCAGGATAAAAAATCAACATATAAAAATCAGTAGCATTTCTATACACCAATAACAAACCAGCTAAAAAAGTAACCAAGAATGCAATCCCATTTACAATAAGCTACAACAACAAACTCTAAGAATAAATTGAACCAAGAAGGTGAAAGAGCTCTACAATGAAAATTACAAAATACTGATAAAAGAAATTGAAGAGGACACAAAAAAAATTGGAAAGACATCCCATGTTCATGGATAGGAAGAATGCTGTTAAAATGACCACTGTCATCCCAGCTACATGGGAGGCTGATGTGGGAGAATCATTTGAGCCCAAGAGTTTGAGGTTTCAGTGAGCTATGATCATACTACTACACTGTAGCTGGGATGAGAGAGCAAGACCTCGTCTCTTAAAAAAAAAAAAAAAAAAACATACTTTCCAAAGCAAACTATAGATTCAATGCAATCCATATCAAAATATCAATGATATTCTTCAGAGAAATAAAAAAACAATTCTCAAGTTTATATGGAACCAGAAAGACCCTGAATAGCCAAAGCAATAATGAACAAAAAAGAACAAAGCAGAAGACATCACACTATGTGACTTCAAAATACACTACAAAGCTATAGTAACCAAAACAGCATGGTGCTGGTATAAAAACAGACACATAGACCAATAGGACAGAACAGAGAACCTAGAAATAAATCCACATATTTACAGCCAACTGATTTTCAACAAAAGAGCCAAAACCATACTTTGGGAAAAGGACGCCCTCTTCAATAGATAGTACTGGGAAAACTGGATATCCACATGCAGAAAAATTAAATTAGACCCCTACCTTTTACCAAACGCAATAGTCAACTCAAAACTGATTAAAGACTTAAATGTAAGACCTGAAACTATTCATATAAAACTATTAGAAAAAAAAATGTAGGGGAAACACTTGAGGACACTGGTCTAGGAAAAGACTTTCTTGGTAAGGTTTCAAAAGCACTGGTGAGAAAACCAAAATAGACAAATGGGACTATAACAAACTTAAAAAGCTTCTGCACAGCAAAGGAAACAATCAACAGAGTGAAGAGACAATCTGCAGAATGAGAGAAAACATCTGCAAACTATGCATCCGAGAAGGGACTAATATCCAGAATATAAAATGAATTCAAACAACTCAACAGCAAAAACAAACAAAAAAACAAAAACAAAACAAAACAAAAAAAACCTAATCTGATTTTAAAATGGGCAAAGGATCTAAATAGTCTAGATCTAAGGATCTAAATAATCTAATAATCCTACACACCTGAGAAAAATCACTAAAAAAAAATTTTAGGCCGGGTGCGGTGGCTCACGCTTGTAATCCCAGTACTTTGGGAGGCCGAGGCAGGTGGATCACGAGGTCAGAATATCGAGAGCATCCTGGCAAATATGGTGAAACCCCACCTCTACTAAAAATACCAAAATTAGCTGGGCGTGGTGGCAAGTGCCTGTAATCCCAGCTACTAAGGAGGCTGAGGCAGGGGAATCGCTTGAACCCGGGAAGCAGAGGTTGCAGTGAGCCGAAATCAAGCCACTGCACTTCAGCCTGGCAACGTAGCAAGACTCCACCTCAAGGGAAAAAAAAAAAAAAAAAAAAAAAACCATGCGCATCCTTCAAAACAGTTTTGCTATGCTGATATTCACCTTTTTAAAAAAAAAAGTACAATAAAAGTCATAATTAATGCTTACTGCAGGCCAGCCCCTGTTCTATTTTTATTTTCATTTATATTTTAAACAGACACTTCTCAAAAGAAGATATACAGGCTGGGCGCAGTGGCTCATGCCTGTAAGCCCAGCGCTTTCCGGGAGGCCAAGGAAGATGGACTGCTTGAGGCCAGGAGTTTGAGACCACCCTGGCCAACAGGGCGAAACCCAGTCTCTACTAAAAACACAAAAATTAGCTAGGTGTGGTGATGTACGCCTGTAATCCCAGCTACTCAGGAGGCTGAGGCAGGAGAATCACTTGAGCCCTGGAGGCGGTGGTTGCAGTGAGCCGAGAGATCGCGCTGACAAAGTGAGAGACTGTCTCAAAAAAAACAAAACAAACAAACAAAAAAACACTAAAAATAAAACAAGCATATGATCCATGGTATTTCTGCCATGTTTGCCATGTTTCCTATGCTAAATTATGAACAGCTTCAAGATAAAATAACATCACCTATGTAGACCATTCAATATCATTCAAATATTTACTAATTTCCTGGCAACAAATTCTAGATTTTGTTGTATCATTGATACAGGAGGTAGAAAGAAATTATTTACGCAGATAATAAGGGCAATAGAGTCCTCGGCGTAATTTCCCCTTTTAACAAAAAGCAGCCCCAAAAGAATTTCTTTTCTAACAAAGAGCAGCCTGAAAAATCATGCTGCAAACATAAAAAAGCAAGCTGGAAGCTTGCACGGGTGAATGTCAGCAGCTATGCTAACAGAAAACGGCTACCTGGGGGCCAGGTATGTTCAACATGGAGGCTTCACCTTCCCTTTTCTTTGTCACCACATGTATAGTAAAGAAACAGACACTGCGCTGGGCAGACAGAGAAGCCATCTGCATAATAAAAGATTAGGGTGGGGGTGGCCAGATTTTTGCACCCTAGGCAAATGGAACACCTAGCCCTAACCAGTTTTCCCGAATGGCACACCTGGTCCAACCAATCTTTCATGCCCTATGTAAATCATGACACCACCTCCTCAAGCTTATCTATAAAACCCCTTGCATTCCACCGCAGAACCAGGACCAGCCTCTCCAGGACCCATCTCTGTCGCAGAGAGCTCTTCTCTTTCTTTTGCCTATTAAACTTCCACTCTGAACCTCACTCTTTGTGTGTCTGCGTCCTAGTTTTCCATGGCCGTGAGACAACAAATCTTGGGTATCAATGACAGACAACGACACTTCTTCATAAGGATTCATATAAATATTCAGACTAAATCTTATTCTTCATTATCTTCTACTTTATTACACTAGAAACGTGTTCATTACGGGGGAAAAAGGAATTACAGATAAAAAGAAAAATTAATAATCCTATGAATCTGAGAAAAATCACAAAAAAAATTTTATGGATATCCTTTAAAACAGTTTTTCTCTGCTGACATTCACCTTTTTTTTAAAAAAAAAAAAGGCTACAATAAAAGTAACAATTAATGTTTACCACAGGCCAGACCATGTTCTATTTTTATTTTTATTTTCATTTATTTTATTTTATTTTTTAGAGACAGGGGTCTCATTATGTTGCCCAGGCTGGTCTCAAATTCCTGGGCTCAAGCAATTCTCCCGCCATGGGCCTCCCGAAGTGCTGGGATTACAGACATGAGCCACCCACGCCCAGCCAGCTCCTTTTCTGAATGCTTTATGCATTCTAACTCATTTAAAGTTTACATCTCACCCATGATGTACCATTATTTTCATTTTACAAAAAAGGAAACAAATAATAAAATCTACCTGTCCCTAGGTCAGTTGAAGTGGCAGAACCATCCAGCAGTCTGACTCCGTAGCTTGCGCTTTTTACACTATGCTGCTCCAAAGATTGATCATTGTATACATACATATATACACTATATATACATGTATTTCCCCTAAAATATTATGAGCATCTTCCTATTCCAAACATTTTTTTAAATGCTGAGATTGTGGGAAATTCATTACATAATTTAAGATATACTAATTGTGTAAGCCTATATATCAAATACCACATTTAAAGAAATCCTTAACAGGCCAAGTATGGTGGTTCACGCCTGTAATCCCAGCACCTTGGGAGGCTGAGGTGGGCAGATCATTTGAGGTCAGGAGTTCGAGACCAGCCTGGGCAACATGGCAAAACCCCATCTCTACTAAAAATACAAAAATTAGCCGGGTGTAGTGGCACATGACTGTAGTCCCAGCTACTGGGGAGGCTGAGGCACAAGAATTGCTTGAAGCCGGGAAGCAGAGGTTGCAGTGAACAGAGATCGCGCCACTGCACTCCAGCCTGGGTGATAGAGTGAGACTCTGTCAAAGAAAAGAAAGGAAAGAAGAAAGAAAAAGGAAAGAAAAAAGGAAAGGAAAGGAAATCCTTAACATTAAACATCTCTCTTACATGAATAAGTTGCACCTTAATGAGGAAACAGTTCATTCTTTTTTTGTTTTGTTTTGTTTTGTTTTAGGTAGGGGTCTCCTGTCACCAAGGCTGGAGTGTAGAGGCACTGCTCACAGCAGCCTGGAACTTCTAGCTTAAGTGATTTTACTCTTAAGAATAATTCCATTCTTGAAGCTAATGTGGGCCAGAATACTCTAGAATTCTGCTCCTCCAGAAATTCATGTTTATAAAATCACACACGGTATACATATTTCATGTTAACATTATTCTAAACTCAAATGCATATTTCTCTTTCTTTCTACCCTGCCCCCTTTTGAAAAAAATCTCTCAAAGTACACAGCATACTACTGGGCATTCACAGTAGGCACTCAATAAATATGTATTGATAGACTGATTAGACAATGCTTTGTTAAAGCAGAGAATGTGTAGAAACAAAGGTCACCTTGTGCGAGTGAATGCAGCCAGACCTCCCTTCTCTCATTGGGAAACCATACAGATACTCACAAAGCATGCCATCCCAGATAATGCACAGTGACATGCCAGGAGAAAAACAGCTAACACTGCCATCCGTTTTGCCTAAATGCTGAACTCTGCCTGCAGCACTGTCTAAGGTCAGTTAAATATATCTAGTAGCCAAACAGGCAAGGGACAAACTAGGTAAATTTTTTAAAAAGAGCCGGGGGTGCGGTAGGGAAGAATCCTAGTGAAATGTAAGTATGTTAAAACAAAAATCTTAAAGGAATCCCAATACACAGTTCCTAAACAAGGGCAATTGCTCTGTGATATTCATCATACTACATAATATACCCAGGCCCTGGGAAAGCACTGGCCTTAGAATGGCCCTCTACGAAGAAGAAAGTTATTGATTAGGCTTTAATTTGAATGTCTGGCAAATCCTCATGAATCCAGAATTGTGATAGTACAAACTTTGAATACATGATTTTTACAGCACGTAACAGTCAAGATGATTTTCTCTTTGTTAGTTTTGGAATTCTTATCCACAAATATAGGAAATCCAGTTATAAAAATAATAACCTCTCTTTTTTTCTGAATCTAGAAGATCAGGACAATACAAATAACATAGGTAGCATGCTTTTTTTTGATATACTGGTCCTAATTACTGCAAACACTTGAAAGATAAGCACAGACCACCCAAAAGGTCAAGGCTAGCTTAAAGATCACACTCTCATCTGCAAGACAAAACAGAGGTGGTTTCCAGGGAAAAGAGACCAAGCTCCCAGACTTTTTGAAAACTGAAGCAAACATACCATAATTTGCAAAGTATTTGCTTTCATCTGTCTTCTACTACCTGCATATATTATATGAGCTGTAAAAACAAGCTGGCCTCCCTGTTAAAGGAAACATGGGAAGGACTCTTTTCTTAAAGTTTAGTTAATGAGTGAAGATAAAGAGTTCTAGCAAGAGGGAACAAATAGTCCAAGAAGGAAGCAAATAGAAGAGTCTAGAAAGACTAAATAGAAAATAAACAAGTGTGTCAAGAGAATAATTTCATGAAAAATAAATAGGAGGGAGGACAATTGAAGCTATACAAGGATTTTCATGAGACAGTTAAGTCCATACTTTCCAAAGCCCTTGCTTCGAAGAATGGTGAGGAGGATTTATAGAAGCTAGCAAGTTCAGGGAATCCTAGCATTAGCTCCACGATGAAAAAATACATACACTCTTCATGAGAATATAAAAACAGCATTATTTCTACCTGACAAAACTAACCTGGCTGGGGTGGGGTGATCTCCTCCTGAATGAAGCACATATTTAATGCATAACGAAAAGCTAGGCAAGACTAACGAAAGCTACTTGAATTGTTCCATAGTCAAGTTGACAGTCCTGAATGTAAACTCAATGTTTGCTGAATAAATAATACCCATTAATACTTTTTCCCTCTTGATCTATATCAAGCATAGGGGAAACAAGTCATTTTAGAATTGAACAAGCGTTTTAGAATTGAAAATAGTATTTTCACAACACTTTTAAATTTTTTATACCATACATAACAGTTTACCCTTCCCCTCCCAAGTTTCTAGATATAGAAATAAATTCAACTTATTAATTCCATGAACTATTCAAATAAACTATTCAAACAGAAAAACAGGATAAAATGATTGCAGCTGACAATTTTTTTTTTTTTCGAGACATAGTTTCACTCTTGTTGCCCAGACTGGAGTGCAACGGCACCATCTTGGCTCACGGCAACCTCCACCTCCTGGGTTCAAGAAATTCTCCTGCCTCAGCCTCCTGAGTAGCTGGGATTACAGGCGCCTGCCACCATGTCCGGCTAATTTTTGTATTTTTAGTGGAGACGGGGTTTCACCATGTTGGCCAGGCTGATCTTGAACTCCCGACCTCAGGTGATCCGCCCTCCTCCGCCTCCCAAAATGCTGGGACTATAGGCATGAGCCACCGCGCCTGTCCGACAATTTCATTTTCAGATACGTAATACTTTTTAATGTTTTTTCTCAGATGGAGTATACAATCTAGACTGTACTGTTTTTCTTTGCTTTTCTCATTTGGTTGCCTAAAAGACTGATGAAACAAGTTAATGGAGCACTATTTTCTCTTCGGTGTTATAGCTTAACCTAAAGAGCACTTATCTCAAGCCCAGAAAAGTTGTATTTTTTTATTCCTTGTACTCAAAAGTGTGAAATAAAACACAGCGGTTTATTATCACCAAAAAGGCAATATTTATTCATAATTAATATTTATCCACACACCCATTAACATTTACTAATTCTAGGTGATGGAAACACAGGTTTGTGTTTACGTAATTATTTTTAAAGTTCACTGGATATATATAAAATACACAGAGACAATAAATGTCAGGCTAATGTCCTAAAGTTTTCAGCTTGGTTAACTAGATGAGTGTTTCAAGTGTTGTTCCCTGACCAGCAGCAGAAGCATCACCTGGGAAATTAAATCTTGTGCCCCACCCCAGACCTACTCGATCAGAAATTCTGAGGATGAGTCCCAGCAATCTGTGTTTTAACAAACCCTCCAGTTAATTCTGATGCACACTTACGTTTGGGGACTAGCTGACAATTTAAAAGCTCTTGCTATTCATCAAGAACAGAAAACAAGAGAAGCAGGCAGGAGCAGAGGCGATCATAAGGACACGGTGCCTTAGTGCTTTATTAATTCACGCTATTCATCAAGAACAGAAAACAAGAGAAGCAGGCAGGAGCAGAGGCGATCATAAGGACACGGTGCCTTAGTGCTTTATTAATTCACACTATTCATCAAGAACAGAAAACAAGAGAAGCAGGCAGGAGCAGAGGCGATCATAAGGACACGGTGCCTTAGTGCTTTATTAATTCACCTTCTTTTCCTCTCCCCCTGCCCACATCCCCCAGGTGGTCACTGTGGTGTTTTTCATTCTTGTTATAAGAGACAGGGTCTCGCTCTGTCACCCAGGCTGGAGTGCAGTGACAGGATCAGGACTCACTGCAGCCTCAACCTCCTGGACTCCAGCAATCCTCCCACCTTAGCCTCCTGAGTAGCTGGGATTTGCAGGCACCTACCACTGTACCTGTCTAATTTTTCTTCTGCCCTTTTTTTTTTTTTTTTTTTTTTTTGGGGTAGAGACGAGGCCTTGCTATGTAGCCCTTGCTGGTCTCAAACTCCTCGCCTCAAGTGATCCTCCTGCCTCGGCCTCCCAAACCACTGGGATTACAGGCATGAGCCACCATGCCCAGCCAGTCTTCCTTATTTCTAATTATACCGAGATAAGTGTATTTTAGTATTCATGAATTTATGCTTCTTAGTCTAACTGCATTATATGCTTTTTAACCTCTAAATCCTCAACCCAGAATATACATTACGATTACCTTAGGAGAGTGTTTTAAAAATCCTGATGTCCAGGTTGTAGCCCACACCAATTAAATCGGGGGATGGGGGCTGACCAAAAGTATTTTAAAAATGCCCCAGATTCCAAGTGTGCAACAGTAGCTGAAAATCATGCAATCTAAGTGAAACTTTTTGTCTCTAGTTCAATATTTCTCCAAGTATGATGACAAAACTATCTGTATCAGAATCGCTAGTAGTTCCCAAAATGATATTAAAAATAATCTTCAGAGTGGTACATATATGACTTTTTTTTTTGAGACTGAGTCTCACTCTGTTGCCAGGCTGGAGTGCAGTGGCACAATCTCGGCTCACTGCAACTTCCGCCTCCCGGGTTCAAGCGATTCTCCTGCCTCAGCCTCTCTAGTAGCTGGGACTACAGGAACGCGCCACCACGCTCAGCTAATTTTTGCATTTTTTTGTAGAGATGGGGTTTCACCATGTTGGCCAGGATGGTCTCGATTCCTTCACCTCGTGATCAACCCGCCTCGGCCTCCCAAAGTGCTCGGCCTGACCTTTTTCTTAATAGTTATGTATTTACACTTTCATTTTTTATTTTTTGGCAAATGTTTTCCACGTGTAGTAGTGACAGTTTCATTTTAAAATAAGATTCAGTTTTTTAAAATGAGTCAATTTTTTAAATTACTAAATAAATAGAACAAAGAATAGGGAAAACACTGAATAGATGGTAAGCAAACAAAAAAGGTTCAGTTAACCTTCACAAATACAGATTCCTGAGCCTTCCCCCAGCAGTCCTAAACCAGAAACTTTGGGAGGGATCCAGAAATTTTAACAAGTGCTCACAGGTGATTCACATATAGTAAAGCTCATAGTGCTGTAATAAAGAAAATGCTCTAATAAAGAAAAATTGAGCCTTCTGCCACTAAGCAAAGAACAAGTTTGGGTGTAAAAGGGAACCTCTCATTCTATCCTGTTTGCTACCACCACTTCCCTGTCTCACACCTCCTGGGTCAGGAAGAAGTACAGTTTCTGCTTCAAGTCTTAGATCTTATCCTGACGTCCTGTTCCATCCTTTCTTTTTTGGCCAAGTCCCAAAATCCAGGGCTGATCATTTTGCTCTCTTCTCAGCCCTCTCGTTCTCCTTAATGCCATCACAGAACGGGTATCCCCACCCCAGGAGGTTGTGGAACAACCTCTTGTCCCACATCCATTTGCTTTTCCAGCTACCCTCTGAAGGCAATTCTTTTAAAATGTCATTGGCCGGGCGCAGTGGCTCACGCCTGTAATCCCAGCACTTTGGGAGGCCGAGGCGGGCGGATCACCTGAGGTCAGGAGTTTGAGACCAGCCTGGCCAACATGGTAAAACCCTGTCTCTACTAAAAATACAAAATTAGCCGGGCATGGTGGCACATGCCTGTAAATCAGGAGGCTGAGACAGGAGAATCGCTTGAACCCGGGAGGTGGAGGTTGCAGTGAGCTGAGATCGTACCATTGCACTCCAGCCTGGGCAACAAGAGTGAGACTCCATCTTAAAAAAAAAAAAAAAAAAAAAAGATCACAAAACACTGGTAAATCATCCGATGTTACTTGTCATTTGTCCTTTCAAATTCCAATGATAACCAACCTCTATCCATTCAAACTGCAAATTGTTTATATATTGTGGCATGGTTAGAAAATCCCCTCACTAGACTGAGGATGGCAAATACATTTCAGTTCACACTACCAACTCTTATCCATTTGTAGTAGCCAGTGGTTCTCAACCAACCTTGACTTCACATTAGAATGACCTGGGGAGATTTTTTAAATCTCCACAGCAAGACCACCCCCAAGCCCAATCAAATCAAATTATCTGAGGGTTTGGGTGAGACTCAGGCATCAGGTTTTGGTTTGTTTGTTTTTTAAGTTTCTCAGTGATACCAATATGCAGCCAAGGTTGAGAATCACTGATCTGGGTTCAGCTAGAGATGTTGTCAAGAGAGATTTAGAGATGATCTGCCATGAGCAGGCAACGTTTTTGCCAATCCTGCACTATTCACTCAGGCAAGTACAGCAGACTCTGACAGAACAGTGACTTCTGAGGACAGAAATGTCAAATTCCAGTATCAATGACGGTAATGCGCAAATATTTGTTTACATTTATCTTGGGGTGTTTCTTGACAAAAACATAAAAAAACAATTTGCTTACTCTGGCCTGCCAGGTTTTTTTAAAAAACCAAACACCATACTTCCAAATATGCACAGTAGCTTTATGAAATTAAGCTGTCTCAGATACTTATAATTTTCAAGAAGGCCTAAGATGGTGAAATTTATAACTTATTTAGCTGAATCTACTCAAGGGGAGATCCGAAGCAAGAGAGTTAAAATAGACAAACACTACTGTCTATAGGTACCACAAAGCATATGCAATCACAAGTTCAATACCACACATCACAAACAATTCCAACTGTTTCTGTGATCAGAAGTCTCTGTGATACAGATCCCTTTCGTAATTATATTATACTAGTGCAATTAGAGCTACTCATTCAATGTCTTGCACAGACTATAAATCTTTGAGTATGTGAAATTCAGATTTAAAAATCTATTTTGTAATAAATTTGCCACCAAAAAATTTTTATAATACAACATTAAGGGAAAAGCATATTCTAAAAAGTAATAAAATTTAGCTTTACTCTTGATGTGACAGAGAAATAATGTTTAATTTTAGGAAGCACAATTTTTCTAATAAATGAACACTTGGCACAAAGTATCGCAATTGTATCCACTTCCTGCCATAAATGCCAGCAGCAAGTACCTCCTGTTTCAAGATCCTCTGAAGCCAATGAGTGGGCAGAACACAACCAGAGCCAAAATGGGGAACACATGGTATTCGCTCTTTGAAAAAAATCAGCAGTGGATTACAACCAGGAGGGGAAGCCATCTGTCACAAGAAAAAGAGGTGGCAGGAGCTGTAACATGCCATCTCAACCTGCACAGTCACATTTTAGATTTTAACCCTTGTAATGAACGATAGGTTTCAAAATTATGAGTGTCAAGGTTATGGATGGAATGGGAAGAGGAAGAAAAACCACTAACACTGTAATTCTACTAATACCATAACCCTATCCCATACTGGGAAGAGCAACAACATAGCAGCAAACAGAAACCAAACAAATGCAAAAACATCACAAACGAGTCAACACTTTGAGAAAGTCAACGCCCTCTAGTATGGGAAGTGCTGGCCGCTGTTACCTGCATTACCTGCATCTAGCCTGAGAACATTTTGCCCAAAACTTCAAAATGAACAAAGGAAGGCGACTTCCACAATTTAAAGATGAAAGCGAACTACAAGTCAAAAATCAACCTTAACCACTGTCTCAATTCCCCCTACCCTTTACCCACCCTAATTCACCCTCCATCACCTTGAATAAGGTAAAATCATAGAACAATTAAATAGATTGAAAAAAAGAATCTTACTAAAGTGTCAGTCCTATCTTCTCTGTGGTCTTAAACCCATTAAAACCCGTTTTAGACACATATAACAGGTTTCTAACCTTCAGAGGAGCACAAAACTAACATTAGTTACTGTCATTTTTAAATCCAGAATATAGTGAGGTTTAACTAAGAAAAAGTGTAGCCACTAAACTTCTATTTATTTAAATCAGCATTTTATACTGCCATTACAATGTAGGAACACTGTTTGTAAACACATTATTTGAGAAATCAGAAGTGGTCACACTAATTCTAGTTTATTCACTTACTTGTCAATATTCTTTCATTCAACCAGTTCTTGAAACCTTACCTCCTCCACCCAAAGCCATCTCTAAAACGAAAATAGTGATTTCCCCTTGAATAGATTCAGCCAAAAATCCAACTACTGGTAATGTAATTCTTCTTTCGGGCTTTGGCATACAATGGCTTTTTTTGGGGGGTGGGGGGTAGAATATATATAGACATTAAAAAAGCCATTTAACAATTTTTAATTAAAATATTTCTGTATGTGTCAATAAATGTTTTATTTTTAAATTAAATCAATGACGGGGGGCTTATGCCTTATGCTCCTTAAGAACAACACGATAAATATTTATGATAGAGAAACAGTTACCCTCCACCAAGTTAATAGTGTAATTTATTATTCTAATTATACCAAAAATGAACTCAATAGTTCAGAAATAACAGATTTATTTGTTCAAAAGTTCAATAAGTAGGACATCAATAAGTAGGACATTTCAATCAACAGACCTCTGGGGAAAATCCACTGGGTCACATAAAAATACACCAAATGTTCATGCATCATGAAGTAATTAATGCTGAATTCTTCATTCAACTACTCAGTGATAACACTTCAGGCAACTATAGAATAAGGCTACTTTCCTCTTTTCCTAAAACAACTACGGCAAATGTGAAGGGTGCGTCACATCCTGAAGTCTCTGATTTCCTTCTCTGCTAGCCAAGTGCAGTGATGAAGCATGTACCGTGGAGTGGCACCATCTAGGCAGAAGGCTGCCTCTGCCACCTAACAGCCATGTGACCTTGGGCAACTTACTCTCAGCCTCAGTTTCCACTTCAATAAACAGTACCTACCTCATAAAATTGTTATGATGGTTAATAACATAGAGCACATAAAACAGGGCCTGTTTCTTAGTAAACACTACACAAGTGTTAGCTATTATTATTTACTCTGTTATCCAAACAAAGTATTGAAAAACTTTGTAAAAGGCCAGAGAGTAGACACTGTATTTCAGGTCTAGTAAGTCATATAGACTCTATCACAACTACTCTATCTACCACTGGTGTGAAAGCAGCCATATATAATACAAAAATAAACATAGCTGTGTCCCAATAAAACTTTATTTATGCACACTGAATTTTGAATTTCATATAATTTTCACATATCACAATATATTAATTTTTTAATCATTTAAAAATGTAAAAGCCATTCTTTGCTTATAGGATGTACAACTCCTGTAGGAAGGATTTGGCTATAATGTGGTGTTCCCTATTATAAACTAATGTTTCTCAAAGCCAGTCCATGACCAAGTTGCCTTAATAAAACTGTCACTACAAAGTTAAAATCTGTATTTTCTTGAAAGAACTGTCTCTTATTGTGGAATGATGCACAATTCCTTTGGTGTTAGATTGACCTTCCCCTTATAAAACAACAGTAATACTATGTAGTCATGTATCACTTTTTAATTGTTTTTATTTGACAATCCTATGCCAGTCTCCCCCACTTTTTTTCTGTTATTTATATTTTATTTTGCTAGTGTGCAAAATGCAAGTCTGGGAATCATTACTCTACTGCTTCCTGCCTAATCAAAACAAGAAAAGTACTGATGTATGTCATTTACACCTGCTGATGTTGACTGATTATTTAAAGTAATCAAATTATATTTATCATCTTCTCAACTGATCACCTATTATCTCTTTTCTCTACCCCTTCTCTCAATGTTAACCCCTTCTCAGGAGCCTTTGGATCCTATGATACACCTATTCTTGTATTTCCTCCTCCAACAAAACACAGAGGAATTTTAATGCCATCTTTTACATTTAATAAATGACTGAATATTAATTTTTCAATAAATATTTTAAACTAGTATGTACACTTCATTCATTTGTCCTTAGTCAAAAACACAATGACATTTGGCTTTGTAGCCAGACGGACCAATATCTGTCACTTGCTAGATGTGAAACCTGAACAAATTCCTCTCTTAATTTTCAATTTCCTCACCTATAAATGAGGACAACATTGCTTACCTACAGAACTGTTAGTAAGGATTAGAAGCAATGTATATGAAAGCATCTAGGATGGTATCTATAAATGTTCTATAATAATTACTAGCATCTATAAGAGTCTAGATATATTAGCATCTATATCTACAATAGATATTAACCCCTTCACTAGTTCTCTATCATAGGTACTCAGAGATGCCTTTGATAACAGCATCACAGTAAGACATCATTTTCACTGACAAATCTATTACACTATTTTTTAAAGGATACAACAGCAAATGATACATAAAAACCAAAGGGAACCTCAGATGTAATGCTACAATTTTAATGTCAGTGGAGTAAATAATAGGGAAATTGTGAGCAAAGTATACCTTTTAGTGACATACACTTATCATGTAAGAATTTAAAAAGCACAGTACAGGACCACAGTACAAAAATTAATAATTTAAAATAAGCAGAATAAGAAAATTTAAGCATTCTATGTTGCCCATTCAAGAGAAATCTCCACTGCCTTGTTAAGTCATCTTCATACAAAAGCACGTATTTTAAATTATTTGTGGAGAGTTTTGGGCCCAACTAACCAACAAGGAACCCCTTACCAAAGAAAGAAAATAGAGCAATAAAAAATTCATTTCCAGCAATACTACATTCCTTTTGGGAAAGCACTCCATAATTCATGGATGAGTCATTGTGGAAATAAAAATGTTAAATAATGAATATGACTGTAACTGAAAATCCTGAGAGCTAATTACTCTACTCAAAGTTCCTGATAACTCCTACAGGAATATTAAGGCTGGGCTGGTAGTGATTAGTTATCCAAATGAAACTTATTATCCACTGTGACCCACTTTCTAAAAAAATTTTATAGGTCCCATGCTACTGTTTGCCTCTGGTAGCAGATCATGAAAGGTATATTTCATACTTCAAAATATATTATAAAATGTATTTGTATTTAAGAAATGTTTGACTTAATTTTAATTCAACTTTTATCTGCATACCTATTATGTCAGGTAGTCTTGTCCATAATTTATAAATATTATCTTCTTTAATCTCACTTAAATATTCCAACAACAATACAAGTATTATGATCCCCATTTGTCAACTGATGAAATTCACATGAAGGCTCTTTGCCCTTTAGATGTAAACACTGATTTTCTCCCATCTACCTTGAAAAGAACTTCATTAGTCATGTATTTCTCCTTCCCAGAAGCACTCAACTTGGTCATATGAATCAGTTTTGAATTTGGGCATTATGATCAAAGTGAACAGACTCTTAGAGAATTCCACTAGGATAACTGACAAAAACAAAATCAAGTAATTTCAGAAGAAAGACTCTAAAGATCACCTAGTCCAACTCTATGGGTTTTAAAGATGAGGAAACTGGCATTCAAAACGCTTAAATACTGCCATGGCTACACACCTGGCAAAGCCAGGATCAGAACTAGAATGCAGCTCTCCTGATTCAGTGTTCCATCTATGACACCAGTGAATTTCAGGCTTATCAGACTTAATACTCTCCCATTTTATAACAAACATTTTGTAAATATGCCCTTCACTATCCTGAAATGCACAGATAATAAGCCCACTCCCACATACGGTTTCAAAAAAAAATTATATAATGCTGTATGAAGGAAAAATGAAAAGAAAGAATTTATAATAAAATAGTATGTATGTTAACATGTAAATGCCAGGGCACAACTACACCAAAAGACTATGCAAACAGAAGCTAAAGAGACAGTAGCATTAGCAACAATGCAATGTTGCTGTTGAAGTGCTTTTCCAAAATGGCAAAAGTTCTAGGTAAAGTTACAAACAAAACGAAGTATAATCTTCTATCAACTTCGTCCTCAGTCAAACAATGCTAATGCACTTACACACATTTATTTAGTTATAGGATCTTGGCTCAAATGACTATAAGCAGATTTTTTTCACCTATCAAATTCCTAGCAAGACATATGAAAATCATATGGTATGAGGGAAAGCTTTTCAGTATGCAGACCTGTCCTAAGCAGTGAGGGGAATGTGGTAACTTTAAGACCTCTCCACCCTAAATCCTAGAAACACCTTCTGCCCCCAGTTATTCTAACAGCCAGTGTTCCCACAACTTTCCAACAATTGAGACCCAATACACTATCCCTTTAAAATAAGTATCTTTCATCAGAAATACCAAGAGAAATCCAAAAATTTATCTGCTACCATTTAAGTAAATAACCTTTTACCTGCTTCATCTCTTGAAAATACTCTGTACAGGCCGGGCGCAGTGGCTCATGCCTGTAATCTCAGCACTTTGGGAGGCCAAGGCAGGCAGATCACAAGGTCAGGAGTTCGAGACCAGCCTGACCAATATGGTGAAACCCTGTCTCTACTAAAAAATACAAAAATTAGCCAGGCGTGGTAGCAGGCGTCTGTAGTCCCTGCTACTTGGGAGACTGAGGTAGGAGAATCGCTTAGACCCGGGAGGCAAAGGTTGCAATCAGCCAAGATCGCGCCACTGCACTCCAGCCTGGGCGAGAGAGCAAGGCTCTGTCTAAAAAAAAAAAAAAGAAAAGAAAAGAAAAGAAAAAGAAAGAAAAAGAAGATACTCTGTACCATAGATAACATGTTTTCATAGAAAAATAAGAAATAGACCCTCCTAAAATTACAAGACAGGAAAGACTGGAAACACTCATTACAATATGCTTCTCTCCTAAGAATGTAGTACCTACTTTAAGTTCCTATGCCCAGGAAGAGGAGTCATGTGAAAAGAAGAAATTACTTATTATGCAGGCTATCAAATCCATGAAAGATAATCAAAAGAACATTTTTTGAATGTATTCTCCCAATTTTTCAAATTTTAAGTCCTATAAAACAAACTTAGTTCCCAAAAATGCTTCTTTGAAATACAACAAATGCTGTAGGTTTATCACATAAATACAATGCAACTGGGTTTAAAAAAAAAAAAATTAAAAATACTAGGCCGAGTGCGGTGGCTCACACCTGTAATCCCAGCACTTTGGGAGGCCAAGGTGGGTGGATCACTTGGGTTCAGGAGTTTGAGACCTGGCATAGTGAAACCCTGTCTCTACTAAAAATTCCAAAATTAGGTGAGCATAGTGGCAGGTGCCTGTAATCCCAGCTACTCTGGAGGCTGAAGCAAGAGAACCGGTTGAACCCGGGAGGTGGAGGTTACAGTGAGCCAAGATCGTGTCACTGCACTCCATCTGGGCAACAGAGCTAAACTCCATTTCAAAAAAAGAAAAAAAAAAAAAAAAAACAGGCCGGGCGCAATGGCTCACATCTGTAATCCCAGCACTTCGGGAAGCTGAGGCGGGCAGATCACCAGGTCTGGAGGTTAAGACCATCCTAGCTAACACGGTGAAACCCCGTCTCTACTAAAAATACAAAAAAATAGCTGGGCGCGGTGGTAGGTGCCTGTAGTCCCAGCTACTCGGGAGGCTGAGGCAGGAGAATGGCGTGAACCTGGGAAGCGGAGCGTGCAATGAGCGGAGATCACACCACTGCACACTCCAGCCTGGGCAACAGAGCCAGACTCTAGTACTGGTAGGCCAGATGCAGTGGCTCACACCTGTAATGCCAGCACTTTGGGAGGCCAAGGCGGGTGGATCATCTGAGGTCTGGAGATTGAGACCAGCCTGGCCACCATGGCAACACCCCGTCTCTACTAAAAATACAAAAATTAGCTGGGTGTGATGGCGCAGGCCTGTTGGTTAGCCAACTACAATATAAGGGCTTCCTTAAGACAGCCCACCCAAAGAACCTCTCTAAGGGTCAAGAAATACATGCTATCAACAACAAATCAACAAAGTTACCATTCCTCACCATTACTCACAGCATTTTCCCATTGCTCACTGTTACTAAAGAACAGTGTAACTTCCTAACCCTTGACCAAGAAGCCAGATACTTGTTAATCCATGTTGATGTCACAGGTCATAATATTTTATTACAATACTGAACAAGTAACAGAGATCTCAGCTAAAGAGTGACCTAGTGAGCACTCTAGTGGCAGCCTCTTACAAGAGGCAGAAGACCCACATAAGGCCTTTAGATTTGTAGTCCTCCTTTCCTTAGAGAGACATGCAAAACTAGGCTGGGTACGGTGGCTCACGCCTGTAATCCCAGCACTTTGGGAGGCTGAGGCAGGTGGATCACCTGAGGTCAGGAGTTCCAGACCAGCCTGGCCAACATGGCAAAACCCTGTCTCTACTAAAAATACAAAAGTAGCCAGGCATGGTGGCAGATGCCTGTAGTCCCACCTACTTGGGAGGCTGAGGCAGGAGAATCACTTGAACCCGGGAGGCGGAGGCTGCAGTGAGCCAAGATCATGCCACTGCACTCCAGTCTAGGAAACAGTGCAAAGGCTCTGTCTCAAAAAAAAAAAAAAAGAAAGAGAGACTTGCAAAACTGTTTTTCATTTTAAAACGTTACTTATGATAACATTTATTAGGTTTATTGTTTCTAAATGTACTAATAAATATTATTTTTTTATTTTAGTATCTAATATGACAAATATTGGTAGATATAACCTACATAAACAAAAGCTGCTTGGGGTCCTTAATAATTTTTACAATATACAGAGGTCCTGTGGCCAACAAGTTTAAGAATTACTGCTACAGAGGACTCTTCAAGTATCTGAGGATCATTTAAGATCAGAGCAGTTATCTCAGGATGACTTCAAAGCTACACAGATCTTTGCATACCACATTCTCTGAAAGTACATAAGCTACCAGCCACCGGTAAGAGATGGTACACTGTGTACATTAAGGCTGAACTATCTCACTTTCTCGGCCTATACAGTCACCACATATGAAATTAAGCAAGTGTCACTGCAATCCAGTATTAGGAAGGAAAGCCTATTACGTAGAAAAGACTGGCAAAATAAAGGGGGAAAGGGTTCAGTAAGTATTGTTAATATATGGAAAAATCAAAGGAAAAGATCTACGTTAAAGACTAACTTTCCAAATCTGGAAAGAAAAATGAGTATTTTTAGGCCGGGCACGGTGGCTCACGCCTGTAAACCCAGCACTTTGGGAGGCCTAGGTGGGCGGATCACGAGGTCAGGAGATGGAGACCATCCCGGCTAACACGGTGAAATCCCGTCTCCACTAAAAATACAAAAAATTAGCCGGGCATGGTGGTGGGTGCCTGTAGTCTCAGCTACTCGGGAGGCTGAGGCAGGAGAATGACATGAACTCGGGAGGCGGAGTATTGCGCCACTGCACTCCAGCCTGGTTGACAGAGCGAGACTCCGTCTCAAAAAAAAAAAAAAAGAAAAAAGAAAAAAAGAAAAAGAAAAATGAGTATTTTTAGAAATGTGTATGGTAGCACAAAAACAGTTCATAAAAGCATTTCTAATCTTGTCCATAAGGGAAGAAAAGAACATTTTCAAAAACAAAATTTATCATTTCCTCACTGAAAGCACATTTTTTGTAATATTTCTCTTTTTCCCAAAGTCACTCCTAATTTATCACAACAGAGGTAGGTACATGATCTCCAATAAACTTGTTGTTAACTAAAACAAAATAAGGGACATCTAATAGTAGAAGTTTGTAAAAAAATCATAAATCAGTATTAACTTTAATAAATAATAACTTTCAGGAATTGAGAGAATCACTCAAGGTATCTGCTGTCAAACAAAAATACCACAATAAAGACAGAGAACCAAAACACAAATCGAGCTGGATGAGAACATATATATAAAACTGTATCTTCTAATGGCTTCTCCCTCTCCACTTCTTACTCCCATAAGCAGAGGCATGTAGCTGATACTGAATTAACTAGAAAAGTGAGTTCCCCAACATTAACAAGCACACCTTTATAACATCTATATGCATGTACCTGAGGTCACAGTCATTAGTCTCTTATCTCCAAATTCTTATGAAAAACTTTTATTCAAATAATTAAAACCAAATTCATCATTCCTTACTCTAAATTTAGTTCCACTTTCTAATCCATTTCCGTTGTTAATCGTAGGGAAAAGAGTTCCCCAATCTCAATACCATGGTTCACTGTATTCTTCTCTCTTGCCGTCTATATCCAAATATTTCTTTTCTTTCTTTTTTTTTTTGACAGACTCTTGCTCTGTCACCCAGGTGGAAGTGCAGTAGTGCACTCACAGCTCACTGCAGCTTCCACCTCCTGCGGTCAAACTATCCTCCTGCCCTAGCCTCCCAAGTAGCTGGGGCTACAGGCACATACCACCATGCCAGCTAATTTTTTATTTATTTATTTATTTATTTTTATTTTTTTTTTTTTTTGAGACAACGTCTCGCTCTGTCACCCAGGGCTGGAGTGCAGTGGTGCGATTTCGGCTGACTGCAAACTCCGCCTCCCGGGTTCACGCCATTCTCCTGCCTCAGCCTCCCGAGTAGCTGGGACTACAGGCGCCCACCACCACGCCCAGCTAATTTTTTTGTATTTTTAGTAGAGACAGGGTTTCACCATGTTAGCCAGGATGGTCTCGATCTCCTGACCTCGTGATCCGCCAGCCTCGGCCTCCCAAAGTGCTGGGATTACAGGCGTGAGCCACCGTGCCTGGCCCTAATTTTGTTTTTTAAGAGATGGGGTCTCACTATTTTGCCGAGGCTGGTCTTGAACTCCTGGGCTCAAGTAACCTGCCCACCTTGGCCTCCCAAAGTGCTGGGACTACAGGCACGAGCCATCGTTCCCTGCCTATATCCAAATATTTCTTTGAAAATCTCATGGATGTGCACCTTCTTCTCCATTCCTATTACCCTGTTTAATCCAGGTCTTCTACAAGAAACTCATTTCCTTTCCCCACCTTTTCTTCAATCCACTCTGCTGACAGCAGTAAAAGCTGCTCCTGAACAGTATTTTTTATTACATCATTTATGCCCTCGTTCAAGAACTCCCTAGGGCAACTTACTATTACTTTCTTCAAAATCTTCATTGAGTAAATCAGATTAGGAAAGAAAAGGCTGGGCACAGTGGCTCACGCCTGTAATCTTAGCACTTTGGGAGGCCGAAGCAGGTAGATCACCAGGTCAGGAATTCAAGACCAGTCTGGCCAAGATGGTGAAACCCTGTCTCTACTAAAAATACAAAAATTAGCAGGGCATGGTGGCGTGTGCCTGTAATCCCAGCTGCTTGGGAGGCTGAGGCAGAGAACTGCTTGAACCTGGGAGGCGGAGGTTGCAGTGAGCCGAGATCCCACCACTGCACTCCAGCCTGGGCAACAGAGCGAGACTCCGTCTCAAAAAAAAAAAGAAAAAACTATACTTTAAAGGGTGAATTCAATTATATCTCAACAAAATTGTCATAAAAGAAGGAAAGGAGATGGGGAGGGAGAAAAAGGACAAAAGGACCTGGGAGGATGGGGTAAACTCCCTAAATGTTTCTCCACAAAGTACCACTTGATGCCATACCCCCTTGGGCGTTGTGAAGAGTTCAATGACTTAGGGCACCCACGCAGCTGTCAGAAGGCAATCTGACCTCCCAGTGACCACTTCTAGTGATGATGAAGCATTACTTTGTGAAACTGTTCTTTCATCAAATGGAAATAGTTTTTTTCTTTTTCTTTTTTTTTTTTTGAGACGGAGTCTTGCTCTGTCGCCCAGGCTGGAGTGCAGTGGCGCAATCTCGGGCTCACTGCAAGAGCCGCCTCCCGGGTTCACGCTATTCTCCTGCCTCAGCCTCCCGAGTAGCTGGGACTATAGGTGCCCGCCACCAAGCCCAGCTAATTTTTTGCATTTTTAGTAGAGACAGGGTTTCACCATGTTAGCCAGGATGCTCTGGATCTCCTGACCTCATGATCTGCCCGCCTCGGCCTCCCAAAGTGCTGGGCTTACAAACGTGAGCCACTGCGCCAGGCCGGATATAGCTTTTTTCAAAAATCCATTCCTCCTTGCAGCCAAAATTTAAAACCTTAATATTTGTGCTCATTTTTCCAGTGTTTGTTCTCCAAAAACAATACTAACAAAGAAAGAAAAAAGGAAAAATCTCCTTCAACATGGCTGTCCACCAAATACTTAAGAGTATAATTAAAATGTTGCAAGTCTTCTCTTCTTGAGTTCCTTCAGCCATTTCTTATAAAGTATGGTTTCTAAGCACCTCCTATACTCTTCTGGGCATAACAGTGCACTCATAACAGATGGCAAGTTCCAGAGGGTGGTACGGTTTTAAATGTTAAAAAATGAAACTATGACCTCCACTGATTAACATTAATGTAACTAAAAACTAAACCCATTTTCTGATTTCTTTTGCACAATAAAGAGGACCCCCAAATTATATTTAAGATGCTATCTGCAAATTTGCTGTAAATTAGCAAATCTCTAAAAACAATTTTATTTCACTGAGATGAGATCACACACTACACTGCACTATGAGATCCAAAAAGACAGAGGAAAATAAAAAGTGAGAGAGAAACTGCAATTATCTGGCAAACTCTGCCCTTATTTCTTCATATAAGCCCTATCTCATATTTGTGCAACATTTTTATTAGCTCTGCTTAATTATTTTTCATACTTCACTACATTCCAGATAAGCAAACTTACCAACTGTAAAAGAAGCAAATTTCCCACACTGATTTAAATACCTTCACCTATGATCAAGACCTGATAAATGCATAGTTCAAATTTCTGTAAGCCATACATGTACAAATTTTGCTTCTCGAAATGATTGTTAACTCCCCAAAAGGAACATTATCCATTTTACATTTGATTTCATTTTCTCATGGCACTCTGCATAGTGCCTTTAACACATTCCCCTTCTGAAACAACAAAAAAGATTAAACTTATCTGGGCAATAAACAAGGATACCAATTTATCTACATCTCCTTGTTAAAACAGAATTATCAAAAAGAAAATTAAAACAATAATCTAAGACATAGATCCCAAATTTTAAGATCAGACTTTAAATGACAGTGAAACAACTAGCAACCTCATGACAAAGTTTATTTAAGGCCAGGAGCAGTGGCTCACACCTGTAATCCCAACACTTTGGGAGGCCGAGGTTGACAGATCACCTGAGGCCAGGAGTTTGAGACCAGCCTGCCCAACATGGCGAAACACCATCTCTACTAAAAATACAAAAAATTAGCCGGGCGTGGTGGCGTGCACCTGCAGTTCCAGCTACTCAGGAGGCTGAGGCAGGAGAATCACTTGAACCTGGGAGGTGGAGGCTGCACTGAGCCGAGATCGCACCATTGCACTCCAGGCTGGGCAACAAGAGCAAAACTCTGTCTCAAAAAAAAAAAAAAAAAGTTTATTTAATGGCAAATAATAATGGCTTTTATCATGCGGCAAATCAAGATACAACCTAAAATTATATAAATGTTAATAGTCAAAAGTCTCCAAATAATGAGAAAAAAAAATGACAAAGAATTACACAAGGTTATCTTTTTGCAGTTCTGAACTAGAAATTCTCGATTCCTAAGTAAATGAGCAACATAAAAATCAGACTCCAAAAAGAGAAGAAACACAACACACAAGGCAAAAAACATTAAATTCACCTGCCGTCCTATAATATTAAACAGTATTTTGTTCATGAAATATTTCAATGACAGTGCTTTAAATAAACATTTTTAAAATAAGCTTCCAACTAAATTTAACATACAGAATTATTTCAAGGCATAATTTAAAAAGTATGATGATAATCTGGTTAAATGCTGTTTAGAATTTAAAAAAAAAATCATCCAAAGTATTTTTTTTTTTCTGAGACGGAGTCATGCTCTGTCTCCCAGGCTGGAGTGCAGTGGTGCGATCTCAGCTCACTGCAAGCTCCGCCTCTCGGGTTCACGCCATTCTCCTGCCTCAGCCTCCCGAGTAGCTGGGACTACAGGTGCCCGCCACCACACTCAGCTAATTTTTTGTATTTTTAGTAGAGACGGGGTTTCACCGTGTTAGCCAGGATGGTCTCGATCTCCTGACCTCGTGATCCGCCCACCTCAGCCTCCCAAAGTGCTGGGATTATAGGCATGAGCCACTGAGCCCGGCCCCATCCAAAGTCTTAGTAGCTCTGCAGTTCCACCAAGCTCACAGCTAGATTTTCATTCTTTGTCAAACATACACCAAAAACCTTCCTGACTCCCAATTTTAAAAAAGAAAAAGAAAAAGCCTTCCCTGTTACATACTATTCTAACTCTCCAACCAGCAGTATTTGAAAGTTCAGTAACAAAAGGATGAGACATAAAAATTGCTGAGTATTTATATCAGAAACATCTTCTAAAAGAACTCCATAATAAAGAACCACACATATCAAGTAATTCTAAGCAAATGCGTCTTTACATCTAATAGGATCCTAGAACAAGATCTCTATGGTCCAATCAGATCCAATATTTAGAATGGACCTAAATCCCCAGTCTCAAACTGAAATGGGGAAACCATTTAATTACTGTAAATCCTATTAAACCAATCTTCTTTATCAAGTGGAAGATGCCTGACCTCTGAGGGCTATGGAGGGTATAATGAATGCAGAGTTTAATTAGGCCCCACTGCTGGCTGACTATAATCTATTAATTAGCATTCTCTGTCTCTGTATCTCATTGCAGTGTTTCACTTTACTTTAAAATTGCACCCTTCGTTTTTTGGACCAAAGTTATACAATTTTAGGATTGTGTAGTAATTACAGTGGGTATACGGAGAATGCATCGCTGCCAGCACTGGTGTTTAATTAGGGCAAGGGGTGGAATCTAGATAAGGCGGTGTTCACCATTCTTCAGCACATATGGGTTTTTTGGCATGAAAATCCTGTGGACTGTTTCACTGGAACTGAAGTATTCAGAAGATTCAAATATTTTGTCTTTGAATGCAGACTGATACTTAGAAAGGATATTACGTATTTTCCACACAGCTTCTGAAGTACAGGCATAAACAATTGCTTCAATTATTCCAAAATGAACAAGTACGCCAATAACTTTTTTCATTAAAATTGACATTTCTGAGTCACTTCATAATAAAAACTATCTTAGTGAGGGGCATAGTTTCAGCATCATCAACAAGGTATAACGGTGACTAGCTAATTCCAGGTATAATGGTGATAAATCCAGTAACTTCAAATCTACTCTAAATTTGATACACACACACACGTATAATCTGACACACACATATACTGTCAATCCATTCTTGAAAAGTAGAGCCTTTAAAAAGAAGTGTTTATTCACATGCAATTTTTCCACAATATTTCTTAATTATTTTAAATTTTTATTTATTTTTTTATTTATTTTTAAGAGACAAGGTCTCACTATGTTGCCCAGGCTGGACTCAAACTCCTGGACTCGAGGGATTCTCCTGCCTCAGCCTCCTGAGTAGCTAAGACTACATGCATATATTACCATACCCAGCTCACAATATTTCTTATAATAAAAAATTATGTCTCAGCCACTTTTCAATTAAATCAAACTGTGATTTTTTATTAACAATACATTTGAAATTGTATAATATTCAAATATGATACACTATGATAATTATCTAAATACATATAAAGAATCTCATATTTGGGCACTAGTATACACCATTACATACTCCAAATTTACCAATCTCATTTTTACCAAGAAAAAGAAAAAGAACCCAATACAACCCCTAAAAATACAGATACAGTTTCCAAGACCTAGGTTATATTGATACTTAACCACAAAACTAAAGAAAGCAAACTCATTTTTTTCTCCTGATATTTACAATTCAATACCAAACTATAAAAACAGAATTTAAGCTGGGCATGGTGACTCATGCCTGTAATCCCAACACTTTGGGAGGTTGAGGCGGGCAGATCACCTGAGGTCAGGAGTTCGAGACCAGCCTGGCCAAAATGGCAAAATCCCGTCTCTACTAAAATACAAAAAATTAGCCAGGCGTGGTGGCACATGCCTGAAATCCCAGCTACTTGGGAGGCTGAGGCAGGAGAATCGCTTGAACTCAGGAGGCGGAGGTTGCAGTGAGCTGAGATCGTGTCACTGCACTCCAGCTGGCGACAGAGCAAGACTCCGTCTCAAAAAAAAAAATACAAAAATTAGCCGGGCATGGTGGCACACGCCTGTAATCCTGGCCACTCGGGAGGGTGAGGCAGAAGAATCGCTTGAACCCGGGAGGCAGAGCTTCCAGTAAGCCGAG